>NC_000003.12:124766180-124917695 GCF_000001405.40 Homo sapiens
CTGAGGGCTGGCTGAGTGGGCCGAGCCCTTGCAGCCCTCACCTACCTGGCTCCCTGAGGACGGTCAGGTTGGACTTCCCACTGGGGAGCTCCACATAGGTGAACATCATGACGCAGTCCTTGGCGGTTTTGTAGAAACATAGCACAGCCTCCTGGTCATCTTTCACTGGAAGAAAACCAAGCGGGAATGGCCTGAGTCTCTCTGAGCAGCCCACAGCCACTGATGGTCGGGGCAGGGAGCCGAGTGCCTTGAAAAAGGAAAGGGCATGGGGGGTGTGGGCAGAAAATCTTAAGGGGAGGCTGGGCCTTTGAAGATGAGTTCAGTTTTCTCACACCAAGAATGCAGGCCCAGGGCTGAATTTAGATGGCTTTGGGGACACGTGGAACACATTAGAGGATCTCCAAGCCTCTGAAGTGTTAGTCGGGGGTGATGTGAAATAACAGAAGGTTTTAATGGTTTCGGGGTGGGGACGGGTGAAGGGATTGGCCACGGAAATTAAAGGGATAAAGAAAGAAAGAAAAACCATCCCAGCCCCCTTTGAGGCTTGAGTGGGGCTTCATATTTGAGAAACAGCCCAGGCCACTTGGGGCTGAGAGCTGGCCACAGAGGCCAAGAGGCAGCAACTCCTTCCTGGGATGCAAAATCAAAAAGAACCACAGGGCAGTGAGGACACTGGGTGAGAGGCTGGTGCCCACCGTGGTGGCCATGCCTGGAGATAAAGTGAGACAGTGTGGAACTCAGGCTGTCCCCAGCCTGGCCCTGAACGTGGCCCGGCCTCCCTCCTCCATATTAAGAAGCCCCTTCCTCAAGCTGCCTCAGCAACTCCCTGCCCCCTTGCTGCCATTCCCCAAGGTGGGGGTGTCACAGTCCCCTGTCCAGGCATTACCTACATTCCAAGGCTTCCCTGGGAGAGGGTTAGCGGGCTGTTTTTTGGAGAGAAAGGAACTAGGGGAAGTGCAAAGTGAGGCAAGGGGTGAGGAAATGCAGTGGCAATGGCAATGGGTCCTGGGGAGGAACAGAAGGTGAACACTAGGGCGGTAAATGCTTTCCAGCTCTTGCCTTTTTAACCTTTTCAACCTTGCTGCTAGACGGAGCTGTAACCTGGAAGCAGATGAATTAGTGTGGTTATCAGACACGAAAGCCTGGACTTTCTGTCTCAGCTCCCTTCTGGGCTGGGTGAGTATGAGTGAGCATGTGAGTGTGTGTATGAAAAAAGCTTGGAAGAAAGAAGAAAAAGGGTAAATGATGGATTGGAACATAAGCTTTCTCTGCTGCTCTCTCAGAGGACTGGGTTGGGAAGCAGCTGTGCATGAACGGCTGTCACTGCTATAAACCAAGCGAACCAGTCCTTGGGCCACAGGAAGGCATTGTTTCCTTCTCTGACCATGTGTGCCTAGTTAGGGGCAACCAGCCCAGGTCTGCTGGCAGAACCTGAGGTCGGCCAGGCCCTGAGCTGCAAGATAGAAGCAGGGGCAGGAAGACAGGCATGTGAGGAACCAGACTGTGGTCCACTCCCCACAGTCTCCTAAGGAGATAGACAGCACCTGGCACACAGTAGGCGCTCAACGAATATGTGCTGGATGCATATATAGCTCAAATATTAAGAAGGAGCTGGGCATGGTGGCTCACACCTGTAATGGCAGCACTTTAGGAGGCTGAGGCAGGTGGACTGCTTGACCCCAGGAGTTTGAGACCAGCCTGGGCAACATGGTGAAACTCCGTCTCTACAAAAACAAAAATTTGCCAGGCATGGTGGCACATGCCTGTGGTCCCAGCTACTTGGGAGGCTGAGGAAAGAGGTTTGCCTGAGCCCAGGAGGTCGAGACTTCCAGTGAGCTATGATGGTGCCACTGCACTCCAGCCTGGGTGACAGAGACCCTGTCTCGAGACAAAAAACCCTCAGAAGCCGTGACTGTAGTCAGTCAAAATAGGCAGGTGGGAACAAGGAAGTCTACAAAAGATGTACGTTAGGACCAAGACAGACAGGCAGCTGGGGGCCAGGAGTTTGCAGAAGCCAGAGGTGAAGATAGAGGGGAAGCCTGCCAGTGAGGGGAGCCTGAGACACAGATTCCCTTTCAAGGTGCATAATTTCCCCCTCACCATTTAAACCATTTTAAAGTGTACAATCAGTCGTTTTACTCAACTCACAATGTTGTGTAACCATTCCCACTAATTCTGAATATTTCCATCACCACAGAAAGAAATCCACACCTGTTAGTAGTCAATGCCAATTTTCCCTTCTCCCTAGCATCAGGACACCACTAATGTACTTTCTGTCTCCATGGCTTTCTCTGTGTTGGACATTTCATATGAACAGAACCATATAATACATGGCTTCTTTTGCTCCGCACTGTGGTCAGGCCTCACCGTGCCGTAGCGTGTTTCAGTGCTTCACACCTCTTAGTGGCTCAATAGTGTCCACTGTATAGATGGACCACACTTTGTTTTCTTTTCTATTTATCCGTTGATGGACATGTGGTTCATTTCCACCTTTGGCTATAGCGAATAATGCTGCTGTGAACATTTTTGTACGTATTTTTACATGGACATATGGACCTAATCCTCTAGGCTGTATACCTGGGAGTGGAATTGGCACATTGTATGGTGATTCTACGTTTGACTTTTTAGGAAACTGCCAAGCTGCTTTCCAAAGTCCGTACCATTCTACATTCCCATCAGCTGTGGATGATGGTTCCAGCACCGGGTCCTCATGGGGAGCCCACAGTTATGCCCAGGAAGCCTGGGCAGTGCCTCCTGACTCAAGGCTAAAACTACCCTCCTCCCCAGGAAGGAGAAAAACCGTGACTGCCCGGGTGGTGGCAGCACACTCACCGATGGTGTCCACCCATGTGATCACCTCATCCCTGCATAGGCTGTGGCAGGTCTGGTTGTCAGGTTTCCCAGAGTGGAGCAGCAGGCACTCGACGCAATCTCTTTGGAAAAGAGGAGATAAAGGTGGGTGTCAGATAATGTAGAACAGTCCCACACCTGTCCCTGAGCTCCTGACAGTGCAGGACCTGGGAAGGCTTTCACTTCTTTCCAGCTGCAGATGTTCAGCCTCAGGGAATGTTTCTGCTCTGCCTTTCTTCTTGTTATGGGAGGAAGCCCAAGGGTTCTTGGAGGAGCCTGTGTGAGTTTAGTGGCATGTCTTGTCTACATGTCAGGTTGCAGACCTTTCAAATTCTGACACCAGGAGACAAATCCATCTGCACTCTGGTCCATCTAATGCCTGGTGAGGAGTCTGCTCCAAGCCAGAGGTTTCTGGGTGATAAAACAGTATTCCTGGCCTCCCAGAGCTCCTCACACTCCCATGGTCAGAGCTCAATGCCCCAACATTGTCCTAGTTCCCCACATCACGCCCTGGTCATCACCCAGGGCGGGGATCTCAACCCTCCTGCACGTTCAACTCTCCAGGGAGCTTTCAAGAGAAACTCCCAGTACCTGGGCCCAACCACACCTCCGGGGACTGGGCTTCCTGGGCAATTCTGATGCATGTCGAGGGCTGAGATCCACTGTCCCGGAGAATCTCGGGCTCCAGCCCCCTTCTCCCTCTCAGATAGAGCCCATCTGCCAGGTCCCCCGTGGCCTGCTGCCCACTTACCCACGAATCAGTCTACACTAGGCTCTGGCACAGGCTCTAGGGTGATGGCTCCTCCCAGGGAACCCTTGTTCTTTAACAGGGGCCTCCTCTAGAAAATGGATGAGCAGCCAAAAAGTGACACCTTGAGCCTCTCTCCTCCCACCTCAGGCTAACAGCAGGTGGTGGCTCAGATAGTGGGTGAAAATGCTTAACTACAACGTTCAATTAAATGGTCATTATTATACTTTATATCATCAAAACCAAGTTGCACACATTCTTTGTCTGTCTTCGGAGACATCTGGGAGAACAGGATTCCTGAGGTCACAGGGTGGGGAGCTAAGCTCTGGCTGCCGGGCTGTAAAGCTGATGTTCAAGGGGAGAGGTCCCAGGCTCCTCTGGTGGCTGGGGGATGGGGCTATAAGATGGTGAGCTCGAAGCTCCAGGGAGGAGTGGGCTGGGGCATGTTGCTCTCAGGGACTTTGTGATGCAGTGCTGCCTGGTGGCCTTCGAGGAGGGTGAGACACCAGGAGAGGCCCCTAGGAAACCGGGTCAGGACTCAAGAGCCAGGTGTGCCAGGGAGGCCATCAGAGTGCAGGGGGTGACCTCAGCTACACGAGGGACAGCCGCTGTGCCCCCACAGGCCTGTGGGGACCAAAGGGGCTGGGTGTCCAGAAAGCTCTCTGGCAAAAATACAGAGGGATGTGCAACTGCAATGTAGAGCCTTTATCATCATCTGTTTCTTAACTCCTCGGGATTAAGAGGCCAGCTACTAAAACATTTCCAGTGCAGAAACTGCGAAGTGGAGGAGCAGAACTGGACGGGAGCTCTGAGACCATTTCACTAAGTCCCCTTTATTTTACGGAGGAGAACTTGAGGTTCTGCAGCCAGGTGCCCCACCTCTCAGACTAGGCTTCCTAAGAGGTTCTAACATGCTTAGGAGCTCAACCATCCCTGAAATGGCTACAAAATCCCACTCTCCTGGGACTGACTTTATGGAAATATTCTGAAGTTAGAAACAAGATGGTAACTCTCCCCACAGTCACAGCCCCGGAAGGCGGGCAGCTGAGACCTGGCTGGGGGCCAGGAAGGGGTGGTTCCAGCTTCAGTCATTCATGCTGACCCAGCTGCCCCCGATCCCCCACCCTCCCCCTGCACCAGCCTCCCAGATTAGCACAGGGCTAAGAGGGCTGCTTTCTCTCCCGGCCAGGATTCTCTGTCCCTGCCATCTGATTCTCTGTTGTTAAACCATAGCTCCAGGCTGCTTCCAGGAAACACTCCCTAAGTATCCATGTGGACATATCAGTCTAACTCATATGCCCCATGTACTGGTTGAAACTTGTAATATATTGTAGTCATGTACTAAAATAAGTCTGCCTTTTAAAAAAATTAAGTTGTTTAGAGACACTTTGCTCTTGAGAGCCTGTTAACTGAAATCAGCTGGGTGTTGAGTGTGAACTCACCCAAAGTGAAAAGTGTGGTTAGTTAGATCCAGAAAACGAAGACTGGCTGCCCTGAAACCCCCAGAAAAAAAAGGATGTAGGACATTCAAAACCTGGTGCCTCCTAACAAGCAGCAAGTAGAAAAAACAGACTCTGATGTAAGTCACCATCAAAAGGACTTCGTTTAAAAAGAAAAAAAAGTTCCACCTAGGCTGTGAAAGAGACAGAGGGTCAGTGTGGCCCAGAGACAAATAAGAAGGAATAGTGGGCTGGGTGTAATGGCTCACACCTGTAATCCCAACACTTTGGGAGGCTGAGGTGGGAGAATTGCTTGAGTTCAGACGTTTGAGACCAGCCTGGTCAACATAGCAAGACCCTGTCTCTACAAAAAAATAAAAATTAGCCAGGTGTGGTGGTACAAGCCAATAGTCCTAGCTACCTGGGAGGCTGAGGCAGGAGGATCACTTGAGCCCAGGAGTTCAAGGCTGCAGTGAGCTGTGATGGTGCCATTGCACTCCAGCCTGGGTGGCGGGAGTGAGACCCTGTCTCAAAAAAAAAAAAAAAAAAAGGAATCGTGATATTCCCTTGTGGCATCTCTTTGCTCTCCTTGCTCCCTTCATATTGTGTAATGAATAATAAATTATTAAGTCTATGTCTTCTAAGAAATAAATGCTTTAAACATTTAAAGCTAGAGCTGTTTTCCCCTGGGCCTTTGACTTAAAGCCAATCCTCCATTGCCTGCTGCTCCATAGGAAGGCAAGACTCATTTGATGAGCTCCATGTGTATTGTCCTAGCTTGACCCCAACTCCCCATTTACCTAGTGTGCCCCAAGGACTAGAAGCATAGGCTCAAAAAGGTTCTGCTGCTGGGAGCTGGAGGTTGGGGGCACCTCCCTCGGATACAAAACGTGGATAATGGCTGACTCTGTGCTGGGATGGCCACAGCTATCTGGGCTCCAGATCCAGGATCCTAACCTTCCCCGGGCTGTTTCTACTTGGATCTGTTTTTTCTCTGCTCTTAGCAGGTCTAAAGTGAATCTGTTTTTCTTCTTCCTTACTCTCCCCCATCTCCTCCAATTAAACACATTAAAACCCAGCCCTGTCTATCTTGTCTCTCCATCTGCAGCCAGCTTTCAATTACCCACGCCTGGGTTATTTATGGCAAATGTCCAACCAGGGGTTCTGCCACCCAGAACGTTTCCGAGCACAGACTGACCAGCAGCCGCTGCAGGCGCAGGGAGCATGAACTCATTTCATTATCAGCCCGAGCCAGACATTTGGAAGGGAAATCTGCCAAGAGAAAATCACAGATGCGTTCCTCAGCCAAAGAGAAGCGACGTTTGTATTATGATTTGTTTCTGATCCTCTGTGTCCCTTCCTCCTTAGCATGGGTAATGATGACACAGCTGTTTCTCCAGCAAACTCCAAGAGCAAATGTCACTCCTGCTTTCCAGGGGCATCATTCTGTAATTCCCTCTCATTTGCACTCTGGTGGAGCATGCGGGGCTGAGCAGGAGGAGGTCAGCACGGCTATGGGAGGCCATGGCCGAGTCAGCGAAGGCTGGGGCCCAGGTCTAGACAATCTCTGCATTCAGCAGCAGCACAGAGCCCGTGTTCTATTATCTGTATAAATGGAGCAGAAAATTCAAAAGCCATTTGCAGTGGTTTCTGGCATGCCTTATCTAGGTCGGGTGCCTTTCTCTCCAATTTACTTTTTTTTTTTTTTTTTTTTGAGACGGAGTCTCACTTTGTTGCCCAGGCTGGGGTGCAGTGGTGCGATCTTGCAATCTCCGCCTCCCAGGTTCAAGCCATTCTCCTGCCTCAGCCTCCGGAGCAGCTGAGATTACAGGCACGTGCCACCACACCCCGCTAATTTTTGTATTTTTAGTAGAGACGGGTGTTTCACCATGTTGGCCAGGCTGGTCTCAAACTCCTGACCTCAAGTGATCCACCCGTCTTGGCCTCCCAAAGAGCTGGGATTACAGGTGTGAGCCACCATGCCCGGCCTCTTTCCAATTTACCTTCTGATGATGTTTGTCAGCATTTCCCATAAGGGTTCTGTGAAACACTGTTTGGGAGATATCAGTGTGGGGGATTTAATTCATTTGAAAAAAGATGCACACTGTATTCTCCTGTGAAAGCACACAATAGTACACTCAAGGCTCTGAGAAGGTGCTATTTTTGGTACCAACACCAATTTAATTTCATTTAACTCTGTGATTTCGTGATTTCTAAACGTGTTTAGGAACAGAGTAGCAGTTTTGTATTTCTTGTTCTGTTTTTGTTTTCTTACAAAACCCTTATGGAACCAGCATTTGAAAGCCACAGTTTCAGTTACGGTTGGTAAGAATGCGGCTCCCCAGCGAGGCTTGCTGGGTGGGAGATGCAGGAGGTGAGGAGTGGAGGCTAGCCGGCCCTGAGGGCTGCCTGGCTGGACCACAGGCCTGGCCTGGGTGAGAAGTAAGGTGGGGCTGTCAGTGGAACCAGTACCTCTTGGTGCTGCATGCATCCGGGCAGGTGGGGCACTTCTCACACATCTCCCCAAAGGCCCCCGGCTCCGTGCATTGGCACTGCCCACAGAGACAGTGCCCACGCTCGCTGCAGATCTGGCCATCTCTGCCCCGGCATGTGCTGATGTCTGTCGAGCAGTTACAGTTGTCCCCGATGTAACCTGCATGGCACTTGCATTCCCCGCAGTGACACTCGCCATGGCCTAAAAGGATACATGTGGCACATCAGCACCTGCTCACCTTTACACATGAGCACATAACCATCTGGTGCCCCACATGCCAGGACTGGGATTCAGCAGAGAATGGAACACCAACTCTGCCCTCAGAGCCTGTTTGGGGAGATAGACAGAGGGCCTAGAGCCAGCATGAAGGGACAGCAGGGGACCCTGGCAGCGGGTGTGGCTGGGTTGGGTCTAGACTGGTGCTCCAAGTTGGTCCAGAACTTGGCCAAGTTGGGCCACAGGGCCAGGACCCAGGGAAGCTTCCTCCTGCTTCAGTTGTGTGAATAATGGCCCCCAAATATGTTCCCACTCCAATCCCCAGAGTATCACTGTTACTTTCTACAGCAAAAGAGCTTTCACAGATGAGATTAAGTTAAGGATTTTGAGATGAGGGATTCTCCTGGATTGTCTCTGTGGGCCCTAAATGTAATCACCAAGGTTCTTCTGAGAGGGAGCAAGGGAGACTGGACTACAGAGGAAGGTGGCAGTGGGACAACAGAAGCCAGGATGCTGGCTGCTGCTCTGAAGATGGGGAGGATGCCAAGAGCCAAGGAATGCGAGGAATGCAGCTCTGGAGGCTGGAAAGGCCAGGAAGCCGATGCTCCCTGGGAGCCTCAGAGGGAATGCAGCCCTGCCGACACCTCCATGTTAGCCCAGTGAAAATGATTTCAGGCTTCTGACCTCCAGAGCTGTAAGAAAATAAATCCGTGTTGCTTTATGTCACTAAATCTGCGGTCATCTGTTACAGCCATAGCAGAAAACACGGTTGTTCTCCCTGAGTCCTAGTTAGAAGCTGAATTCCTGCCCAGGGACCCGAAACCCAGAAATGGATGATTTAGGAGCAGATGCTGAGAACAGCAGCAGCAGCAGCAGCAGCTAACACTCACCAGTGCTTCCTATATGAGCACCTTACACGTAGAAATGGGATGAATCCGCACAGTGACTTATGGGGCAGGCATTATTGTCCTTGTTATATAAGGGGTGAAACCAAGACCCAGAAAGGTGAAGCAATGGTTGATGGTCACACAGCTAGTGGCAGCAGAGCCAGGACTCAAACCCAGAGAGTCTGGCTCCAGAGTCCATGATCTCAGTGCCAAAGTCTACTGCCTCCTATGAGCACAGGCAGCCAGGACTAGAACCTGCAGGGGGATGCCCTGGCCCTTCCTTGCAGGGGGTCCTCTCCATCGCCTGCAAGGGTGGAGAGGCGGGGGCTGCCCCCACTCAGCAGGTGTGAGGGGCAGGAATATCACTCGGCTCAGAGGAATGTGTGTGCTTGTGAGAAAGCGAGTGTGAGTGTGTATGAGTGTGTGAGTGCAAGTGTGTGTGAGGAAGTATTTAAGTGTATGTTTGTGAGTGGGTGCAAGTGTGCATGAGTGTGTACAAGTGTGAGTGTATGTGTGTTGGAGTGCAAGTGTGAGGGAGGATGTGTGTGAGTGCGAGCATCTGTGTGTGTTGGAGTGTGTGTGTGAGGGTGTGTTGGAGTGTGAGTGTTTGTTCTGGAGTGTGAGCGTGCTGGACTGTGAAAAGACTAGATAGCACCGTCTTCCAAGGGGACCAAGGGCCTGACAGTGGAGTCTCCATTTTCTACACAATCAGAGGCAGAACGCAGTGCTACAATTGGTATTTTTTAAAAAATCAACTTTGTATTATTTTTTTCCCTAATGCCATTATGTGAAGGCTGATATTAATACAACCAAGAGTTTCATTTGCTGAGCACCACTCATCAACTAGTGGGTGACTGGAGAGGCAGGGTGGGGAGACCTTTCATTTTACTTCCACATCTGAGTCAGTTACCTGGCTTGTTAACTGGATCCCAGCACCTTCCCTGGACGACCAATGTGTGTGACCCACAATATAATATAGGTCAGAACTCAACTCCAGAAAGCCTCTTCACCCGCCACTTAACTTCCTGCCCCTGCTTCCCCTGGCTCCGTCCACTCTCTGGTGCCCAGAACCTGTAGGCGGCAGGGGGACCATCTGGACAGCCAAGCCTCCCAACCCTCCTGTGCTCAGACAGCCTCTCTGCTTACCCAGGGGTCTCAGAGCCACAGCAAATGTGTGCTGAGCAGGTGCCCTCCCATGTCACAGGCAGCGCTGAAGCAGATGGCAAGCCCTCCAGGAGAGGGAAGGAAAGCCAGACTCGGGCCCGGAGTCCGCTGTGGAATGCAGTCTTAACTGTGTAGATGCGGGCGTGTGAGGGGTAAGCCACTGGAAAGGGCAGTGTCTCGCAGCTCAAGGGTTCCATAGCAGAGGCTGGGGCAATGGGCAGCATGAGCTCATCCCTGGAAGGGAGAGGGCGGTCCTGCCCCTCCTCTCCACCAGTCTGGGACCAGCACCACTTTTGAGCCTTGGCAGCAGGAACTCCCCACGGGGAGCCTTCACAGGTGAAATGGATCCAATCCACACAACTCCCTCACCCTCTGGCCTCAGGGAGCACACTGGTCAAGAGCCTGGTTTCAATTAAAATGGCTCACTGTGAGGGGATTATTCCCCACCCCCCCAACATTTTGTTAGGAAAACTTCCAAACCTGCAGCAAAGTTGAAAGGATTGTGCAGTGCACATACATATCCTCCCCACCCAGATCCTACCTTCACATGTGACATGCTGCTTGACTGCTTATCTATCCACCTGTCTGCCCTTCCATCAACCCGTATTTTTAAAGATGCATTACAAAGTGAGTTGCAGACACTGATGCACTCCAAGGGTAGACTTAATACGGCTCTGGCACTCTCTGATGGCTTGTCCATCACACGATCCCCACAACACAAACATATAAAAAGTAAAAGGCATGCTCAGCGCTAAGCAACAAAGATGGCACAGAGGCCAGGCGGGTGTTGTTTTCTTTCCTACTCTAATTGTTGCTGGCTGCACCATAAAATTATCCAAATACAATGTGGCACAATATGCCGAAGTGTCAAAGGTTTGGAGGTAGCCTATTCTTTTGCTGAAGGGCCTGGGCTTGGGGTGAGGCATGTGTGTTAAGGGAACGGGCCTTCCTTGTGAAAAGGCCTGTTCGCTGCAGAGGGGAGCCAGGCAAGGTGCCTGCTGCTCTTCATTTCCCCTGGGATGGCTGGGGGGCAGGGAAGCCTAGCTGCTTTAAGTATGTCTGATACCTTGCAGGCCCGAGAGTTCCACAGCCTAGCCCAAGGTCAGGGCGGTTGAGTGTGCCCCTGACCTAGGGTATAAGAAGAGGAGTCAGGAGTCAAGGGTAGGAGAGGGTGAGAGCTGGTGGCTCACCAGAGGTCACCACCGTTCCTTGGAGAGGGACAAGACCCAAGGCCAGAGCTGCTGGCCATTCCTAAAAGCTTCCTACCACCCTTGAGCCCAGCCAGAAGCTGCCAGGAAAGCAGTGGTGTGTGGAGCCCAGCCCGTTTCTGGGGGTGAGCCAGTGGGAGCCACGGAGGGGCTGTGGGACATCAGAAAACCTTCATCTGCATGGCTTTTTGGCCTCCAATATTTGATGACTTCAAAGCAAAGCCCTAGCCAGCCAAACCAGAAAATAAGCCCCAGGCTTCACACTTGATGAAATCACTGAAGCCACCAGAATGCTTGTCCTTTGTGACTCTGATAATAGTCCCAGTTGAGTTTACCTTGGGTAGTTCCCTGCCTTTCAGAGACAGCCTAAAGCAGTGACAGCAGACGCTGCACATCTCCTTCTCCACACTTGTGGCAGGCATCGCTGTCTCCTCATAGGAGTCTTCTCCAAGGGGCCTGGGCTTGCCCTCAGAATCCTCAATGCAGTCCTCCAAGTAGGTTCTACCAAGTGGTGGGAGCTGGCACACAAGTCACAACTACTGGGCCACCTTGGTTGAAACCAAGACTTCCAAGACTCCTTCAGAAAGCGTGACCCACACAGACAGTCAAAAGCTACATAGGCCTGGTCACATTTTATCCCAATCCAAATGTCTCAGCTCCTGCAGTTGAGCCTCAACCTGCCTTTCCCTCAGCCTGCGTGCTCAGAGATTGCCTGCATCTTCTGGTCAGCCCCAGACCCTCCTACTGCCCTAGGAGGAACACATGTCATCAAAAGGACCAGCGTCATTTGGCCCTGTCCCAAGGATCAATAACCTATCAATCACCATCATGGGGATTGGGAACAACATCCTGGCGGACAGTGCTCAGAGGACCTAAGTCAGGACTCTTCATCAAAACAAAGCTAACATCTAATGCTACCTTGGCAAAGTGAGTTGAATTTAATAGTGCCTGCGGAAAAAATATTTTCATTACACATAGATAGGGATACTGAAGGACATGTGAAATCCCTGTGCAAGCTGTGAACTGCTACACATGCAAGTTGTTATTATTAGTACCTTTGTTACAATGATTGATAGCCAAATGGACAGGAAGTTGTAAATGTGTCTATTTATACAGATTTTCAGCTGTATAGAATTCAACAGCTTTCCATCAGCAAAAGTGCTTGTGTGGGCTATGGGCCAAGACACAGCCTCTTGCCTCCTCTTATAAAATTGAATCCTGGCTATTCAGAGGAAGGGGCAGGCTGGGAGGCAGAAGGGGAGCCAGTGGCCCTGTCAGCCCAGGAAGACGTGAGAGGAAGCCCCAGCATCGACGCTCTGTGGAGGTCAAGGCAGGCAAATCCTAAAGCAGCTACCAGGCTGCACCACAAAGCAGTGAGGACAGAATCCAGCCTGCAGGGTGTAAGGAGGTGGTGACAGTGAGCGTAGGGGACTCCCACAGGTAACCTAGTTGTGTGGGGACAGGCGGAGATGGGGGACAAGGAGGATGGGGGATTTTGCAGATGGGATACATTTGAGCATTCTTCAGATTAAAGAGAACCATTCAGAAGAAAGTCGTGCAGGATGGGGAAATGAAGGAATCAAGGGAATGGCAAACTCTGAAGAGATCACAGTAGAGATGGAGTGGGAGGAAGGAGAGGCTGGGCTGAGGGCGAGGGTGTGGCCATGGGGAGATGCTGAAGCCTTAAGTTCCAACAGCAGAGGAGTTCAGGGAAACAGGGTGACCAGCTGTGTGACAAGCTGAGGGTGTGGGCTGGAGCTCAGTTCAGATCCCTGGGTCACCTTGGGCAGGTCCCTAAACTTCTCTGATGATCCGTTTCCTCCTGTGTTGATGAGGATAATGCCTCCCTTGCAGGAATGCTGTCAGAAACATCAGTGCTCTTCCAAGTGATCTCTGACACATGGGGCATCAGGACACGGGAGCTGGCATTGCCGTGGGTGCCACTGGAGTTGACACTCTAGGAACTCGGAGACCCACGTGTAGTACAGCTTGTCCACAGGGAAAGGCAAGGCACCCAGAACAGCAGAACTCGGGGCAGAGGGCGAGAGTGTGAGGCAGGATCAGGTCTTTGGGGAATGTAGGGGGTAACCAGGAGGTATGTGACAGGAAAAGTGGAGGGATGAGACAATCTCAAAAGAGGGAGCAAAGGGGATGGAAGGCAATGAGCCAAAGGCAGTACTGGGGGGCGAGAAACGTGTGACCTGGGTGTGGGAGGCCTCCCACCACCAGCCTCCCCAACCTCCCCCTACCCTGTGGTCTCAGGCACCAACAGACCCAGGAGAAGGAGCAGGTGGGAAGTTGTGCATAAGGCTGAGGATGAAGAGGAGCCTGTTCACCATGAAACATGGGCAGTGGAGAACAGAGCTGGGCTATGAAGAACCACCTGGAAAAGGGGGCAGTGGAGTGCGGTGGTTAACACAGGGATTCTGGAATCAGGCTGCCCGGGCTGGCCTCCTGAATCTGCTATTTACCAGCAGTGGCTGCCGTTTCACCCCTTTGTATATTTAAATGGGGCCAGTAAAAATGCCTTGCGGGTAGGGTTGTTGTGTGAGTTAGCTCGCTTAACCTCTATAAACCACTTAGAATAGTGTTGGCTCATTAAACATCACTGCCTTATCATGGCGGGGTGTGGGGGGAGCTTGGCACAGGTCTTTTTGGAGGATGTTCAGGGGTACCCTTTTTGTCAGCTTAAATCACAGACTTCCACAGTTAAAGGGCCTCATGAGGTGACCGAGGCCATGCCCAGTCGGAAGCAAGAACAGCCAGGACTGACAACACCCAGAGCCTGAGGGAGCTGCTCGGCCAGTCTGAGCCTTGGCGGGGAGGCTCACACCACAGAGGCCCCCTTCTGCCCTGCGTGGGGAGCTCCCTGAGGCATGCCAGAGCAGGGCACAGTGGCCCTCAGCGAGGCCTCTGAGGCAGGGCACGGGGACCCTCAGGGAGGCCTCTGAGGCAGGGCACAGGGACCATGGGGACCCTCAGCAGGGCCTCTGAGGCAGGGCACGGGGACCCTCAACTCTGGCCCAGGAACAAAGCCACTGCTCCATTCACCCCCAAACGCCACTCTGGGTCTGCAGAGGCCCAAGGCAGCCATGGGTGACCGCAGAGGGCTAGCAGGACCGCAGTGGGGCTGCAGGAAGGAAGGAGCCAGCTTGGGATGGGGCAGAAATGAGGAGGGGTTCTCTTCTTCCCATCCTCACCCAGCTCAGTGTTATAACCAGGCAGACGTCAGGCCCTCAGGGTACAAATCATCTCTCCATAGCTGGCTCAAAAATAGTTTCCACTAGCTCTGGAATGCACTGTGGCTTCCTTGGCTTCCCTCAGCACAGCTCCATCCCCTCCGGGAGTCCATTCTGGCTCACAGAAGGCTGAAGAGGGAGGACTGGGCTCAGCGCCTGAGACAGGAGGGCCGTCCCCTTCTCTCTTCTCACGGCCCTGTCCCCCACCCCCATGCCCACGGTCAGTGTCTCCTGCACATACACTCACCTCCTCTCATCGTCTCATCTCAGTTCTGCCTTAGTGTCCCCCCCCCCGTGTTTCCCCACTTTCCTCACATCCCCCAGGGAACCCTCCCCTCTCCCCGGCAGTGTCCCCTCCTCCTCCCTCTTCCCCTCTCCTCCGAAAAGGTGGCCATGTAAACAGGAAGTGGCTCAAAGACATAGAGGGAGTGTGGCTGGAAGCCTTTACACATGGGAGGTAATTTCCCTATCATCACCCAAAGTCAGATTTCATGTGTGTTCTAGCCAGCTCTGTGTGAGACTCTGGGCCCAGTTTCTGGAACTCTCCATCAACTGTCGTAGGCAGAGCAGGAAGCCAAGTCAGCAGCTGTGTGCTTCAGTTCGCTGGTGTCTGTGTGGCTGAGGGCCGTGTGACACTGCCGAGCCAGGGCAGCCTGGGATGAGATTACAAAGTGCGGAATGCGCAGTGGCTGGGGAGAGCTCGGTGACAGACCTGCTTGGCGCTCACATGCTGGGCCAACCACAGTCCTCTCTGGAGCACCAGAGCCAGACCCGGGATGGGCTCACTGTGGCCAAACACATACATAAGCTTCCAAGGACTGCGGCCTCTGTCTGGGGCTTTGAAGATTTCCTGGGGGGAAATCCCTCCTAAGAAGCGCTATTCCTGGCTCTGCTGACAAGCAGGTTGGGATTACGTAACAGACCCCTTGTCCTCCCATGCCCTCGTGTGTCCCCACCTGACCTGTGCTGCCTGGTGTTCTCAGGGTGTCTCCAAGCCTGGTCCCCACAGCAATATGCCCATCCCACTATTTTCCCTCTCCCCTCCATGTGCTGGTGTTGATTGTAGAAAAAGTAAAGAACAGAGATTTCTGAAACGCACAGGACGTGTTCCCAACTTCCTCACAAGGGATCTCAGCTTGGGTCCAGGCACCTCAGTAGCAACTAAATAAATCTCCAAGGGCAAGAGAGAAGTTGCTCTTGAAAAGTTTTGTTCTCACCATGGGTTTCCTGCGCTTGTAAACAGCATTACCATGCCTGGGGGAGTTATGCATTGGAGAACTTGCCAACTAAGGGCTGTTTCTTTCACAAAGAAAGCACAGCTCTCCCTTGCTTAAAACCACCCCTAGAACTCAGCTTTGGTGGAACGTCTCCCCTGCTCTCCTAGGTCCTATCCCTGTCCCTCCACTGTGCAACTCCTCAGACTTGCTGGGGAAGTCCTCTCTGAGCAGTGCTGCCGTGCAACCTCACCCACCTACCTGCTGGCTGTGGGCAGCGGTCCAGGTTCCTCACCAGTAGGAGAGGAATAGTGCCTTGTCTATCTTATAGGACATGGGATATTCTTAGTCAATGTGCAATAGAGAAATGTATGTTGTACTTCAATGTTTACTGCCTTCTGGGAAGTTGTAATTCCACTGAGATAACAAGCCATTAAAATCTCTTAATAATAGTAAAACTTTATGGAATTCTTACAATAGGCGAGGCATGGTTCTAAGCATTTTACATGGATTATCTCATTCATTAGTCCTCCCAATAATAACCCTATGTTGTGGTACAATTATTACTCTAATTTTTACAGATATAGAAATGAGGCACAGAGAAGCCAAGTAACTGATCCAAAACCACACAGCAGGTAGGTGGCAGGGCTGGAATTTCACCCATATCTGTTTGACCAGAAGCCCATACTCCTTACCACTATGGGAAGAGAGCATTTCAAGGAGGGCATGGCCAACGGAGTCCACTACAGCCGAGAAGTCAAGTACGATGAGGGCTGAGAGCCCATAGATTTATCAAGACAAGGTCACTGGGGACATGGGAAGACTATTTTAGTGGAGTCACAGGACTGAATCCAAATTAGACTGAGTTAAGGACTGAGAGGGAGTCAGTGAAGGAAGGCAGCAAGTGTAGACAACTGTTTTAAGGATGTGGTTGTGGGCTGGGCACGGTGGCTCACGGCTGTAATCCCAGCACTTTGGGAGGCCGAGGCGGGAGAATCACCTGAGGTCAGGAATTTGAGACCAGCCTGACCAACATGGTGAAACCCTGTCTCCACTAAAAATACAAAAATTAGCTGGGTGTGGTGGCACACGCTTGTAATCCCAGCTACTCAGAAGGCTGAGGCAGAAAAATTGCTTGAACCCAGGAGGTGGAGGAGGTTGCAGTGAGCTGAGATTGTGCCATTGCACTCTAGCTTGGGCGACAAGAGTGAAACTCCGTCTCAAAAAAAAGAAAAAAAAAATGTGGTTGTGAATATGGAGGAAAGGGGAGCTTGCAGTGAGTGTGGTGCAGACTGATGACAGGGTTTTTATTTTCTATTATTTTCCCTTTCTTTCTTTTTTTTCTTTTTTAATATTTTAAGATTAAACAGGCCGGGCATGGTGGCTCACGCCTGTAATCCCAACACTCTGGGAGGCTGAGGTGGGTGGATCACTTGAGGTCAGGAGTTCGAGACAAACCTGGGCAACATGATAAAACCCCATCTCTACTAAAAATACAAAAATTAGCCGGGCGTGGTGGCAGGCGCCTGTAATTCCAGCTACTCCAGAGGCTGAGACATGATAATTGCTTGAACCAGGCAGGCGGAGGTTGCAATGGGCCAAGATTGCACCACTGCACTCCACCCTGGGCAACAGAGCGAGACTCCGTCTCAAAAAAAAAAAAAAAAAAAAAAAGAGAGAGAGAGAGATTAAACAGACCTGAGCATGTTCAAAAGCTGACCAGAAGACTTAGTTAAGAGACGTAGGTATAGAATCACTTGGCACACTGATGGACTTGTTTGTTTGCTGGTCTGCCTCATCTCATTAGCCTACAAACCCACACGCAATCAAAGCCTCTGTTTTATGTTTCTGTGCCCCACACCTAGCATGGTGTCAGGCGTGTAGAAGATGCTCAGAACATGCTGTCCTTTGGTTGTGGTTGACAATATCACCAGGACAAACCTCAAACCCTGGGGGAAGACATCCAATGCTGGACATAAGAAAAGGAACAGAAGTATTATTGATACCTGAAGAACTTAAATGTGATTCTTGAGATATTTCAGATTCTTAACAAATGTCCAAGAAACCCAGAGACTTCAGAGTAACATGAGAAAAAGACAATTAAGAATTCTCTTTTCTCTGGAAGAACATGGTTGTGGTCACACTGAAATCGCAGCCTTGCATCTCCCACTTTTCTTGCACATTGTTTGGGTTTCTCCAGCAAAAAGCTCTTTAGAGATACAAACAATGACACATCTTTAGTCTCAGGGACAGCTGCTCCTCTGTCCGCGGCATATTGTTAACAAACCAGCCCCATCAGTCAGCTGATGGTGTTTCCCAACAGGCAATGCCCTGACAAGCCCCTCACCCTTTGTCCTTCATCGGCTGGACTACATGGGGCATTCTGTATCTGAGTAGCAAAATACCACTGCTATAAAAAAAAATAAGGTGATATTGCTTTAAGCCAAGGTTCTCCAAACCTCAGCATTAACTTTCTGAGATGATGGTACTGGCTAGAAATCTAAGACTCCATTGTAAAAAGCAACAGAACCGTCTCAAAGGCTATCTTTGCCTTTCTGGTCTTAGCCACCTGATTTCTCAATGCTGATGCCAGCTGGGTGCAGTGGCTTATGCCTGTAATCCCAGCAGTTTGGGAGGCTGAGGTGGGAGGATCCCTTGAGTTGTAGACCAGCCTGGGCAAAACAGTGAGACCCCATCTCTACGAAAAAATTAAAAATTAGCCAGGCATGGTGGCACATGCCTGTAGTCCCAGCTACTTGGAAGGCTGAGGTGGGAGGATAGCTTGAGCCCAGGAGTTCAAGCCTGCAATGAGCTGTGATTCACACGCCAGTCTAGGAGAGACAGTGAGACCCTATCTCAAACAACAACAACAACAAACAAAATCAATGCCGATGCCCAGCTGCCATGTCACAGGGAGATTAAGGCAGTGGAGGGAAGATGGACAAATCCTGTGTTCTTTAATGAATTCACCTTTCCAGTTTCAAAGAAGTCTAAAACCAGCTGAGTGAAATCAACCATAGTCCTCTTCTAGGACCCTGAGAATGCTGATTCAGAAAGAAAAACAGAAGGCTGTAGCCAAAAGAAACAGAGGTACTTCAGGTCAACACCTTAGGTTTGGCTTAACCTGCCCAATCCGCCTGGCAGGCACTTCTGGGGAAATGCCAATCACATCTGGAAAGTGTGAACTCGCCACCCTCTTGGTCACCGCAACAGGATGCGAGGGTTACTATTTTCAAACTGGAAACTGTCATGGTGTTGTGGTTGGTTAACAGTTCCCATATTCCACCCCAGGCTGGCCACTGTTCAGAGACTAGCTGCCTTCTCAAAGGACGGAGGTGGTTTGGAATGTCCCATGTGTAGGCCACACTGAAGCCTGGCTGCCGGGACCCCAGTCAAGCCATGAGGCGGCAGGGAAGCAGCTGCTCAGCAGAAGAGCAGCCCCCTAGGGTTAGGGGAGGTAGACGTTGTTTGGGTCAAGACTTTTGGCCCAAAATTTCAGTGGGGAGTGTGGCCTACATGCCAGTCTTCTCAGCCGTAGCCTCCCACAAGGGCAGGGTGAGTGACAGCACACCAATCTCCTGGCACAGTAATAACAAGTAAATGAGATCATTCACGTCAAGGGCGTTTTATAAATTAGAAGAGACTAACAAAGGTGCACTTGTGTCCGGGCGCGGTGGCTCACGCCTATAATCCCAGCACTTTGGGAGGCCAAGGTGGGCAGATCACGAGGTCAGGAGTTCGAGACCAGTCTGGCCAACATAGTGAAACTCTGTCTCTACTAAAAATACACAAAAAATTAGCCAGGTGTGGTGGCAGGCGCCTGTAATCCCAGCTACTCAGGTGGCTGATGCAGGAGAATTGCGTGAACCCGGGAGGCAGAGGTTGCAGTGAGCCAAGATCGTGCCACTGCACTCCAGCCTGGGGAACAGAACGAGACTCCATCTCAAAAAAAAAAAAAAAACCCCAAAAAAACAAAGGTGCACTTGTAGGTTCAGCATCACCAATAACAACAGCCAGATACCCACTGAATACTAAGAAGAGCTCTATGTCTTTCATCAAATTATAGTCACGAAACGATGAGTACCTCAGGCAGTTGCTTGGTCCATGTGTATCCTCCAGGCCTGGTTCACTGTGTCTGACATATCCTTATGTAACCTAGAGAAACTCACTTAGGAAAACGGGCTAAATATTTCCTAAAATTTTGACAGAGATAAAGAACGCTTATAAGGTAGGACTTGGAAAATGTAGGCTAAGTGCCAGGGTGGTGGGAAGGGTCTTAAGTTAACCAAAAAAAGTAAATTTAGGTAGAAATGAGCTAATTGTTTACCTGCAAAAGGCAGTGCAAGGTTCTCCCTGTCTGACTCTATAATCAAAAATCACAAGGAGCCCTAGTTCAGATTCTGGGCTTCAATTTTCCCCAATGTAAATAGTCGAAGCAGGCAATGCACTGTAGACACACCGTGTGTGACAGGCTCTGCTAGGAAAGGCATGAGATGCAAAAAAATCCTCCCAGTTAGGGCTTGCTCATGATGAGTGCAAAACACTAACAAACGAGCCTGTTTGTTTCCAAGGAAATGATCTCAATATAGTGAAAAGGCCATTAAAACAGATTCTCAGCTGGGTGCAGTGGCTCACATCTGTAATCCCAACACTTTGGAAGGCTGAGAAGGGAGGATTGCTTGAGCCCAGGAGTTTGAGGCTGCAGTAGGCTACTGAGTGTACCACTGCACTCCAGCCTAGTCAACAGGGCAAGACCCTGTCTCTTAAAAAAAAAAAAAAGATTCTCCTTGTGTTACTATAGTTTTGCCTGTTGCTAAAGGCCAACTTCATGACGTCAAATAACATACCAACCTGGGTTGCATATTTCTTTAGCTTAGGGACATCTGGACTCACCTGATAGACTTTGGGAGTGGTGGCTATGGGGTGGAGTGACAGCAGGTTCCCTCCTCTGGGTCAGAGAACAACAGTCAGAGCCCAGGAGGGAGCCCTGGAAAGAGGAAGGAAACCTTTGAGCAGATCAGACTTGGAGCAACTTCCAGACTCAAGGGAGCTTTTGGATCTGGGTGGAGCTCTTAGGTCAGTGTTCTGAGCATGACAGACACTCACCCCAAAGATCAACATAGCTCCATCCAGACCTGCCCCACCTCACCAGAGGCACTGAGCAGCAGAAGCCTGTAAATAACCAACTATGTTGAAGTATCTAAAACCAAGACCAAACTCAAAGTGTCAGCTCAACCCCTAAGAAATGGAACAAAAGAATCCTTAAGAATAACCATTTCAGCCACCAGAGGTCTCTCACAGTTTTAAATTTAAACATGGAAAAGTTTCCAGCATGTTATCCTATAATATCAAAAGGCTAATACCACGCACACCTCAAGCCTACATGACTAAGATCTTATCTTTGGCATTCTTAGGTCTTCCTAGTACTTTCCTTTGCTTTTTAAATGTCATTATTTCCTTCACAAGCCAAACCTCGTGACCTTAAGCACCAGGCCTGAAGTTCAAAGGCACACACAGAATCCTCGCCACGGGGTTCTGTTGGCAAACTTCTCTTCCTAAGTAGAGGGAGTGGGACGGTGAGGGGAGGCCCAACGCTTAGATTTTCAGAATCACAGGTGAATTGTTGCTTAAGATGTTTCTGGACACAGGATCTGAGCGGTAAGCAAAAGCAGTGAAAAAGCTCCATTTACTGAGCTAAGCTCAGAGCACCGAGAAGGCAGGTTCTCAAAATGCTTCCCAACACTCTGTTTTTTGTCTTTCAAGATCTCAAAGAAGTCTTAATGGTAAAGGTAGAAGCATAAGATGATTCATGTTCCCATTCCTTATTTCCAGAAAGTTTCAAGAAAGAAGTGGAAAATTCCAGGGGCAATAAAAATTTAGAAATTAATTCAAGACTGAAACTCCAGCTGTATATCCCTGGCAGCCAGTACAACACTTGGCTTATGAAGAACGCTCAATGAACTTTTGTTGAATGAGATGAATGCAGCAACCTGCCTAACACAAAATGACCTTCAATGAGAGATTGTTGTTTCTATATTTGTAGCTGCATTGTCTCAGATCAGATACTTACTAAGCTCTGGTTTTTCCAAAGCTCTGGTTTCTCCAACCACAAGCTGCAAGAGGCTGGCTGACTCCAGAGATGAGCAGCCCAGCTGGCTCATGTGACTAGTTTAAAAGATGTATTATTTCATTATAGGATCACAAGCCCTACAATTTGGTACCTTTTTGCTTTTCAAGTGAACTTGAGTAGTGGCTAGAAACAGATAGCTCTTTTTTTTTTTTTTTTGAGATAGGGTCTTGCTCTGTTGCCCAGGCTGGAGTGCAGTGGCATGATCTCTGCTCACTGCAACCTCCACCTTCTGGGCTCCAGTGGTCCTCCTACCTCAGCCTCCCAAGTAGCTGGGACCACAGGCACACGCCACCATGCCTGGATAATTTTTTGTAGAGACGGGGCCTTGCTATGTTACCCAGGCTGGTTTTGAACTCCTGAGCTCAAGCAATCCACCCACCACCTTGGCCTCCCAAAGTGCTAGGGTTACAGGTGTGAGCCACTGCACCCAGCCCCGGGGGAGAAAAATATACTCAGTGCCCCTGGTGGTAGGGCCCCTGCAAGGAGCTTTATAGACACTGTCCTGTTGGTTCCTCACAACTCCCTTCTGGGGTAGGAAATTCCAGAGCCATTTCCTTTCCATTATATAAGGAGGCCTCTAAAGGCTTTTGCAGTATTCCTGGCAGGGGACAAGGAGAAACATCTCTGTGCTGGTTACTGCCATGGTTTCTGGCAGCTCTGCCTGTGTTATCATTGCCTAAGGAACATGCATTGTCCTTAGCCACCCTGTACGTGGTAGCCTGCAGAAGTATTACTACCACTCACAGGTGTCTCATTCCTTATGATGAGTTACTGAAGAATCCTGTAACAAATTCTGTTCTCAGAGCCACCTGTTCCAAAATGGAACCGGACTCTCCTGGCCCTCACTGTCATGTACATATTTAGGATTTCTATGATACCAGGTAAGGGAAATTGCTACACTGGTTTCTGAAGCTCTGCCTGGGGGCTTCCTTTGGGAGAGAGGGGTCCTTCCTGTGGAAGATATATTTTGCATCCTTGTATTTGCTAGAAGCATCTGGGTGAACATCAAACTGAGCAGAGATTAATGTATGTGAAAAAACCCGAAGAATTTCTAGGTGCTCCTACCAGAAGCACACAGTGGTGGTGATCCTGCCAAGAGGTCCCTTTCCTGGAGATTAAATATGTCCAGCCTAGGTTCATTCAAAAGGTACTTTTAGCTCAGACCTGTAATCCTAGCACTTTGGGATGCTGAGGTGGGAGGATCCCTTGAGCCCAGGAGTTCAAGACCAGCCTGGGAAACATAGGGAGACCCTGTCTCTATTGTAAAACAAACAAAAGGTACTTTTGGAGACCTCTGTCATGGAAGTCACCTTCAAGACAGTACTGTAACAAGCCATTTGTGAAATATGCCAATTGCAATGACAGAGATACAGCAGCAACCTGAGCCCCAAGGACGGCTGCCAGGCTACTGATTCTGAGTGTGAAAATTACATTACTAAAGAAAACAATATAAATATGGTGAGAAACACTTTTAAAACTGTATCTGGATAACTGTTGCCATGGCAGGTGTTTTGTTTGACAAGAGTCAAGAAGCCTAGGATGTGGCCTTAATCTCAGGAGTGGCTTTAACTAGACAGGGTTATCAGAACTGCCTTTAACTAGACAGGGTTAACAGAACCGCCTCTGACTAGACAGGGTTATCAGAACCGCCTCTGACTAGACAGGGTTATCAGAACCGCCTCTGACTAGACAGGGTTATCAGAACCGCCTCTGACTAGACAGGGTTATCAGAACCGCCTCTGACTAGACAGGGTTATCAGAACCGCCTCTGACTAGACAGGGTTATCAGAACCGCCTCTGACTAGACAGGGTTATCAGAACCGCCTCTGACTAGACAGGGTTATCAGAACCGCCTCTGACTAGACAGGGTTATCAGAACCGCCTCTGACTAGACAGGGTTATCAGAACCGCCTCTGACTAGACAGGGTTATCAGAACCGCCTCTGACTAGACAGGGTTATCAGAACCGCCTCTGACTAGACAGGGTTATCAGAACCGCCTCTGACTAGACAGGGTTATCAGAACCGCCTCTGACTAGACAGGGTTATCAGAACCGCCTCTGACTAGACAGGGTTATCAGAACCGCCTCTGACTAGACAGGGTTATCAGAACCGCCTCTGACTAGACAGGGTTATCAGAACCGCCTCTGACTAGACAGGGTTATCAGAACCGCCTCTGACTAGACAGGGTTATCAGAACCGCCTCTGACTAGACAGGGTTATCAGAACCGCCTCTGACTAGACAGGGTTATCAGAACCGCCTCTGACTAGACAGGGTTATCAGAACCGCCTCTGACTAGACAGGGTTAACAGAACCGCCTCTGACTAGACAGGGTTATCAGAACCGCCTCTGACTAGACAGGGTTATCAGAACCGCCTCTGACTAGACAGGGTTATCAGAACCGCCTCTGACTAGACAGGGTTATCAGAACCGCCTCTGACTAGACAGGGTTATCAGAACCGCCTCTGACTAGACAGGGTTAACAGAACCGCCTCTGACTAGACAGGGTTATCAGAACCGCCTCTGACTAGACAGGGTTATCAGAACCGCCTCTGACTAGACAGGGTTATCAGAACCGCCTCTGACTAGACAGGGTTATCAGAACCGCCTCTGACTAGACAGGGTTATCAGAACCGCCTTTGACTAGACAGGGTTATCAGAACCGCCTTTGACTAGACAGGGTTATCAGAACCGCCTTTGACTAGACAGGGTTATCAGAACCGCCTTTGACTAGACAGGGTTATCAGAACCGCCTTTGACTAGACATGGTTAACAGAACTGCCTTTGACTAGACAGGGTTAACAGAATTGCCTTTAACTAGACAGGGTTATCAGAACTTTGCTAAATCGGCCGGGAACTGTTAGCCCAGACCCAGAACCCATGCTTGGATGCTGGCCCTGGCCTGCTAGGAATGATGCTACTAGTACCATGCTTCTTCTTGTTCTTTTTTTTTTTGTTTGGGAGAGAACGGAGGATGCCCCTTGACTTCTAATTGCCTGCCACATAGTAATAAAAGATTCTTGCTCAAACTTTGGGTAAAATAAAGGTGAGACGTATACATGAGACCTTACTCAGAGGTGCTTTTGAGATCTTACAGCCACGAGACCAAAAGGGCTGTGTTCAAAATTCTATATCCTATTTGATTTAAATTTCCTCATTATGTGGAATCCAAGAATGAGGCTGACCATTAGCAAAGGATTCAATGTACTCCAGTGCAGTCATTTTAAGTGTAGAGAAGGTTGAAAGCATCTGGGTTGAAACTGACCTCAGCAATGTACCACAAGGGAGTAGCTCAAATCCCAGAAAATGCACCGTTTGGACACAGAAACTAACAAAGAAACTCAAAGTTTGAGCAAGAATCTTTTATTACATGAAAAACAACTGAACAGAACATGTCCTGCTTCTCATATTCTATGGGTCAATACTTTACAAGACTCAAAAGAAAAGAAATCCTCATGATGGCCCCAGGAAGCTCCCCTCGCACACACAGAAACAGTCTGTGGACAGAACCATTCTCTAAGTCAAGCTGCCTCTAGAAACCGCAGAGAGACACAAGAGCCCCAAGCTCACACACATTCCCATGACAATGTGTCACAAAAGTAATAACAGAGTTGTTCAATTGCTTCCAGACCTTAGTCGGATTTGTTCACTGCTCATTTTGATGATGGATAACATATTGCAAACCTGTAATGTCTTGCGCTTTGCCCCTAGCCCTGTCTTGGCAGGGACAAGGACTGTAAGCCTCCTACTGATAGAGAGTCCAGTGAAGTGGAAGGAGTTTCTCTGGGGTGACCCTACCTATTCTGGCCCTGGCTCTGCCTCAGCCACTTCTTCAAGTGCACCCCTCAACCCCACTCTGAAGACAGACCACAACCACACGATTTCCTTCCAAGACAGGCTGCAGGGAAGAGGGGGTGTAAAGCTGTGAGAGAATGCTGAAGTCAGCTGCTTGGGAGTCTCTGAGTCAGCACCTTCAAGAGCAGAGTGGTGGCTGGGAACCAGGCTTCTCTGCCACAACAACTCCAGATGTAGCCGTGACCCAAGAGCTCAAAACCACCGCACGCAATTCTGGAGTGGGAGCCCCATGCTGACCACAGGTGCCAAGGACCCAGGGACTGGAATTCCTTACCCATCCATTCACAGCCCCTCCTGAGCTGTAAGGTTTGAGAGACAAGGAAGGGCTGGTGCTATAACGCTGTGAAAGAAGCCACTGCATGAACATGTTATCAAGTCCTGCCTGGAGCTGGACTCAGTTTAAGTCCTTCCCAAATTGTCAAACAACAATGATCTCACTCCAGAAACTATTTTCTCCGGAAAGACTTGGATAGCGTCACGTTTCAACTAGTTGTTGCTTTTAAAGTGAAGAGGTGGAGAAGGCTAGTTGGGAGTGCAATGGAAAGACACTCAAAATGTTCTCATCAATGATTTACTAAAGTCATTCGACTTCAAGTGCTCCTTAGGATATAATATTATAGGAAAAAAAGCATCATACAAAATTGTATGCAGCTATAAACACACATACACTAACTTAGAGGAAGGTTTAGAAGGAAATAAACTAATCTCTTAAAATAAGAGTGATGAAATTATGGATGATTTTTAAATTTCTTACTACTGCTCAGAATATTCTCGACCTAAGGCTAATCCCCCAACTCTCTGGCAAGGTCTTGACTGAGCACACAGCCTCAGAAGTGATGCACACGAAACAGCCTGGGTGAAAAGAGGTCTGGTTTCCCAGATGGTCCAAATTACTCCTGGTCACCAAGAAGACAGACAGCACCAACTGGCCACACATCCATCAACTTCCCTGTATTTTTCAAGTTTTCTTTAATGGTTGTCTATGGCTTTTCCAGTGGGGAAGAAAAAAGACATTCATTCTGCAACCTCAGGGAAGTTAGTGACTTTAGGCATCGTTGATCTAGGAGCCTCAAGGGCTTGGCAAACCTCCGGTTTCTCTACCCCATGACATGAGCATTTCCCGATCCCGCAGGATTGTATGGGGTGAAGGGAAGAGAAAGAGATAGAGCACCAGGGGTTTTTGGATATGAAGTCTGGCAGAATTCTGTAATGCAGGATTAACTTAGGATTGTGGGTTCTGATGATTAAGCAAAAAAAAAGCTGCATTTTCACGCAGCTATGGAATATTCCTGTTTCCAAAATGACCAGTATTCCCCACTGAGGGCCTCTCATACCCCATCTCCCACTTGCCCTGTCTCCCAGGCTCTGTACTCAGAGAAATGCCCAGTCTCAGCAAGACAGAGGAGGCATCTAACATCCACTGGGTCCTGTTCCCTACCGAGTACCAGGCCAGGGCCTTCATCTCTGTCTTCTCCTTCAATTCTCAAAATAATGCAGAAACAAATGGTGTTGGCCCATCTTAGGAGACAGGAAAAGCCAAAGTCCAAGACAACCAAGGTCACAGCCTGATGAACTGTGGAGATGAAACGTGCACACAGCATCTGACTCAAACGCCCTTGCTCCCAGGCTGCATGGACACACGCAGGCTTCTAGGGTGAAGACATACCAGAGGGTTATTTCAGGATCCTGAAGGGGAAGGAGGGATGGTTCTGTCACGTTTGCTAATATCTCTTTAAAAGAAAAACTGCTAAAAAGCCTGCCAGGCTGCTTAGAGCTTTTATTATGGCTACTAAGAGGAATGGAAACTCCATTCCACCACCCTGGAATTTTTTAGGCAAAGCCTGGGGACTGTCTGGGGGAAGGCGGGGCCCTCCTGCACATGGGGAACCAGGTGTGGCCCCCCCAGAGGGGTGTGGCACTGACTCATAGAGGAGCCAGCATTGGGTGTGTTTTCCTTTTGTGCCAGGCAAAATACTGGGTGCTTCACACACATCTCTTATTCCTCATAACAACTCTATGCCCAAGTCACACTAGCAGATATGGTATGATGGGACTTAGGCCCAGGCCTCCTGCTATGGAGCCCAAACTTTTTCTACTAACCAGACAGAACCATCTAGCTAACACCAACCTATCATCACTCTGCTGAGGAAAGCGTTGATCCCTGTTGCATGCTTGGCATGTTGAATCCTGATTTTTCCACCTACTTTACTCTGCAATGACACTGCTAAGTCCTGCACTCTCCAGGGCAACTCCAGTTTTAGACATGCTGGTCCCACGACGCCCATGGGTGTACTCACGCTTGTGTCACGGCAAGGTCCGCTCCAGGAAGCTTCCCTTGTTAACCCACGTCTGTGCAACCCTGTGTGGCAGTACAATTCCTCCTCCCATAGGACGGAGTATCTGCACGTTCCTGGTTTGCTTCAGATGCACCTTGTGCTTTCTTTCCCAGCTGATCCCTTAGTTCCTTTCAAATCCACCCATCCCAATTGGAAGACCATTCTTAAGGAGGGAGCCCTGGAAACCACAGAATACATGATGTGTAGAAGAAACCACAGCCCTGCCTAAAACTGTTTTACTTACTACCTTTACAGGTGGCATGGTGTTAGATAAACTTTGAGATACAATTTTGAAGCATTTAATCAGAACGCAATACCAGAGTGGGAACTGCCAACTTGTCATTTAACTGGAATCAGTGTAAACTCCTGTGTTTAGATTCAGAAAATTAAGGGCTCCAACACAACACACTAAAAAAGTACCTCTCCTTCTGAACCACAGTTCTAAAAAATAAAATAAATTAAAAGCCTCAAACTTTTGGTAGTGAAGTTAAAAACCAGCTCAAGAGTATACTGTGACTGTTTAACAGAACGAAAAGGTGGGCTGGGCGCAGTGGCTCACACCTGTAATCCCAGCACATTGGGAGGCTGAGGTGGGTGGATCACCTGAGGTCAGGACTTCGAGACCAGCCTGGCCAACATGGGGAAACCCCATATCTATTTAAAAAAAAAAAAATTTGCCAGGCGTGGTGGTGGGTGCTTGTAATCCCAGCCAGTCAGGAGGCTGAGACAGGAGAATCACTTGAACCCAGGAGGCACAGGTTGCAGTGAGCTGAGATTGTGCCACTGCACTCCAGCCTAGGCAACAGAGCGAGACTTCATCTCAAAAAAAAAAAGAAACAAGAAAGAAAGAGAGAGAGAGAGGAAGGGAGAAGGGAGGAGAAGGAGGAGGAGAAGGAGAAGAAGAAGAAGAAAATAAAAAAAGGTGAATGTATTGTCAGGGTGCATCCATGTAAGCAGAATGTCCAAATCACAGGAAACGCATGCTTCACTGAACCCTGGACCAAGCCCTCATCATCCAGCATGACAAGTAACGCACTTGATTATGTGAAGCATGCTTCACAAATGATAGCACCCTCGGACAAGGAAGAGACTTGGGGTGTCTAGCCTAGATCAGAAGAGAGAACAGAGAAACATAAAGCAGCTTTTAGATGTTTGACAGGTTGTCACGTGGAAGGGGGACTCTAGAATGTTAACCATTGGGAGGAAGTTATTGAGAAACAAGTTTCTCTTCAGTATAAAGAGGAATTCTGGGCCGGGCACAGTGGCTCACGTCTATAATCCCAGTACTTTGGGAGGCTGTGGATGGATCACTTGAGATCACGAGTTCAAGACCAGCCTGGCCAACATGGTGAAACCCCGTCTCTACTAAAAATACAAAAATTAGCCGAGTGTGGTGGCGGGCGCCTATAATCCCAGCTACTCGGGAGTCTGAGGCAGGAGAATTGCTTGAACCTGGGAGGCAGAGGTTGCAGTGAGTCGAGATCCTGCCATTGCACTCCAGCCTGGGCAACAGAGTGAGACTCCATCTCAGAAAAAAAAAAAAGAGGAATTCTGGCAGGAAAAATAAGAGCCCCCAGAGATGTCCACATCCTAATCCCTGGAACCTGTGACTGTGTGGCCTTACGTGGTGAAAGGGACTGTGCAGATGTGAGTAAGCTGAGGACCTGGGGATGGGGAGACTTTCCAGGGTTCGACTGAGGGTCCCTTGTAACCACAAGGGTCTGTAGGAGAGGGAGAAGGATTTGACAACAGAAGCAGAGGTCAGAGTCAGAGAGATCTGAGGATGTTACTCTGCTGGTTTTGAAAATGGAAGAAGGAGCTGCAAGCCAAAGAATACAGGTGGCCTCTAGGAACTGGAAAAGGCCGGGACACAGATTCTCCCCTGGAGCTTCTAGGAGGTATGCAGCCCTGCTGGCACCTTGATTCTAGCCAAATAAGATCCATTTCAGACTTCTGGCCTCCAGAACTGTAATGGATTAAATGTGTATTATTTTAAGCCAACAGGTTTGTGGTGAGTTATGGGAGCAGCAATAAGATATGAGTTCATTGGCTAAGGGACAGATGGCCACTGCCAGCCCCAGTGAGTTCCCCGTCCCAGGAGGCAATCAAGAAGAGGCTGAACATCTCTACCTGTCAGGAATGCTGTGCAGGCCAGTCCTGCATGAATTGGGAAGTAAGGTGGATGACCCACGCAGGCCCCTCGAATTCTGAGAGTCCACAATTTATGGCAATACCTTCTGCTTTCGTATTCTGCACACAGATCCCCACCTCCTGCCTACGGGTAGCAAGGCTTGCCCACTGTCTTCTCCAAGGAGAGCCATGGTAGTGACACTTTCTACCACCACTGAGTAAAAGGCAGGCTTTGGGAGGGTGTCCTAACGGCATCTTGGCCTGGCTCAGAGCTAAAGTGCTTGCTGGGGACACTTACCTGAGCAGAGGACTCCCTTGTTCCTGGCACAGGAGAAGTTGTCGCACTCACAGAAAGGCCCATAGATCTTGCCAAACTCGCTCTCGAAGCAGGAGCACTGGTTGCAGCTGCAGTCCCCACGCCCGCTGCACAGTGGCTTGCCCTCTGCCTCCCGGCACAGGTTCTGGTACACGCTCTGGTTCTCCCCATCCTGGCACTCGCACCTGGTGCCCAGGTAGCCGGGGCTGCACTCACACAGGCCGCAGACATAGGTCCCGCTCCCGTTGCACCTGGCGCTGTTGGGTTCCAGCCCCACGCTGCAGCCGCACGTGCAGTTGTAGGTGACCCCCACCTCCAGGCTGTCCCGGAATCCCACCGGCCGCAGGGCAAACACATGCTCCGTGTGTCTGCTGGGACAGCTTCGGGCCTCCAATGATACTTCAAAAGATGCCTGGGCAGAAGGAAGAGAAGGGATATCATGGCTGCGGCAAGCCAGGGTCTCCCATTCACCCAGGGGCAGGGCCCTTGATGAAGAGCAGCTGCGAACTCCAGCCCTCTCCACGCACTCAGGTAGAACCACCAAGATGGCCGGAGTAGGAAGAGACCTCAGAACCAGCAAGCTCCCATGCTTCATGGAGAAGAGAATGCACAGGTGAGCTCACATTTGACAGGTGAATTCTTTAACATTCATTATCTCTTTGCATCCCCATGACCCTGAGGAAATGGGCCCCTGCGGAAAGCTATAGGGCTTCCTTGAGTTCACACAGTTCTTATTCTCCCTTTCTTTTCTCTTCTGTCCTATCCTCTTCCCAGCCCCGCTGCAGATGCCTCTTCTCTGCTCACTTAAAAAGTCATTTGGTGGAAAAACATTTCCTGGGCGCTGCCTCTGTGCCAGGCACAATGGCACTCTCACAGGGTGCCGGGTGAAGGGCACCCACCTGGCCCGCCATAGAGAGGGCTCTGTGCCTGCTGGCAAAGGGCTCAGCTGACTCCAGAGCTTGCTCTCCAGACACCCCCGAGTCCCCCGTGCCCCAATTCCTCCTCTGTGAGTGCTTGTCATAGCTGCATCTTTCACAATCCCCCCATGCCCCTGAGGTCTTAAAGAAGAGTCTCCAACTGATGAAATGCACCATGCACATGGACAGACCTTTTCTTTTTAAACAGAATATGTAAGGAAGTGTTTCTCACTCAGGAGCTTCTCACAGATTGCCTTGAAAACAGGCTCAAGGTGGGCCTGGATGGGTGGCAGATGGTGCGGGAGGGATGCCTGTCAGCTGCCCACAGGGCTGGGATGGAAGGAAAGCAAGAATGAGGCTTGGTCTGATTCAGGAACTAGAGCCTGACTCCCCCACCCTCTCCTCCTCACCCCCCTGAGGAGAGCCATGTGGGGTCTGAATCACCCATCAGGGCCCTGAGAGCAAGTCACTGTGGATTCTATGAAAACGCACAGACAGGTGGCCAGTGTGCCCTGATGAAATGCCGTTGTAAAGTTTTACTCAGGGGTGGGTTCTCCCTTACTCCCTGAACAGACAGAGGCCCGGCCCACCCCACAAACAGACTCACTGGATCTGGGTCCAAATGTCTTTATTTTTCAAAAGGCTCCTCAGATCATTCTGAAGCTCAGAATGGGTTAAAAACCACTTTCAGCTATTACTATTCTTAATTCTATTCTTTCGGCTAGAATAAAGCTTTTTTTTTTTTTTTTGAGGTGGAGTCTCGCTCTGTTGCCAGGCTGGAGTGCGGTGGCATGCACTCAGCTCACTGCAATCTCCACCTCCCGGGTTCAAGCCATTCTCCTGCCTCAGCCTCCAGAGTAGCTGGGATTACAGGTGCGCGCCACCACACGCAGCTAATTTTTGTATTTTTAGTAGAGATGGGGTTTCACCATGTTGGCCAGGATGGTCTCCATCTCCTGACCTCGTGATCTGCCCACTTCGGCCTCCCAAAGTGCTGGGATTACAGGTGTGAGCTACTGCGCCCAGTCATTAAAGCTAATTTTTAAAATGTCATCATTCACTTGATTTACTGGACAATCTTCAGGTAACAATGTTTTTGTTGTTGTTGTTGTTGTTTGAGACAGAGTCTCTCTGTCACCCAGGCTGGAGTGCAGTGGCACCATCTCGGCTCACTGCAGCCTCTGCCTCCCAGGTGCAAGCGATTTTCCCATCTCAGCCTCTCAAATAGCTGGGATTACAGGTGCCTGTCACCATGCCTGGCTAATTTTTGTAGTTTTGGTAGAGACGGAGATGGGGTTTCACTGTGTTGGCCAGGCTGGTCTCAAACTGCTGACCTGAAGTGATCCACCCGCCTTGGCTTCCCAAAATGTTGGGATTACAGGCGTGAGCCACTGCGCCCGGCCCACGATGTTCATTTTTTGAGAACATTATAAATATCTGTTTCTAAACATACAGATCCCTATTACTTTGAGATTTTTACTGGTTCTAAAAGGCCTCCCCTCAGATGCTGTGACATCTAGGGACACGGGGAGAGGGGAGAGGGTATGGGACTGAGCAGGAGGATAGATCCTGCTCTATAAGTCCTGCAGAAAGTCCTGCGTGGCAGCAAACTGCTGTTTCAAAGGACTTGACAACAGACACCCAGGACTCAGCATTAGCCAAGAGGCTCAACAGGAGAGGCTTCTGGATAGGTGAGCTGAGGATAGCTAGGGGAGCAGGATCAGAAGACACTCGGGGGACCAGGCCAGCTGCAGACAGCTTGGGCTAGCTCCACCTTACCTTCCATCTCTGTGGGGTAGGAAGAGTAGGAAGAGACAAAGGGGAGAGATTGACAAAAACAACTCCAAGGCTAAGTTCCAAGGTCTCGAGGTACAGGGAGTCTCTCAAGGTGAGTAAAGATTCAATCCACTTGGACACTGAAATTGGTTAAAGGATAACACGAATAGGATGGGCGTAGTGGCTCACACCTGTAATTCCAGCCCTTTGGGAGGCTGAGGTGGGCAGACTGGGAGGATCACTTGAGGCCAGGAGTTCGAGACCAACCTGGACAACATGGCAAAACCCCATCTCTACCAAAAGTACAAAAAATTAGCCGGGCATTTTGGCACATGCCAGTGGTCCCAGCTACTCAGAAGGCTGAGGTGGGAGGATGGCTTGAGCCCGGGAGGGGGAGGTTGCAGTGAGCCGTGATCGTGTCACTGCACTCCAGCCTGGACGACAGAGTGAGATCTTGTCTCAAAAAGAAAAAAAAAGCAAAACAAAACACTAATAATTATTAGTTGCCAAGTGCCTACTATGTACCAGGCACTGTGCTGGACTTTTCCACAAGCATCTCTTTTAAATGCCCTAGAAGGAAGTGTCCTCATTTTACCAGAGAGAAAACAGGGTTGGCGGGGTTGGTGGATTTAGTCATGCTCACACAGCTGATGAGTGGGGCCAGGCCTAGAGCAGGGCCCGCGCTCTCCTTAGCATATCCACCTCCTAGACGGGGGAATGAGGTCTACCTCATCGGGGTGCGCAGGGAGAGCCAGCCTGGCTTACTAAAGGGACCCCTTGATGGTGATCCCCAAAGTGGTGGCCAGAGGCATCTCCACATCTTTCTGCCGTGGGCTGGGAACGATTTGAGCCTGCAGATAGGATAAGAGTGGGGACTATGCCTGCCCGAAGCCACCCGTGGGGCCATCAAGAATGCAGAGGTGAATGGAGCTTTGAGGGGCAGATGCCATCCCTCCCTTCTGAGGCCCAGAGAGAAACTTGCTTGCATCTCCTATTACTATTTGCTTGAAGCTCCCACAACAGTGACATGCTTGAAGCTACCTGTAGCTTGCTTCAAGTTACAGCTGAAACCCTGTACTTCTAGGGCTACAACTTGCTGGACTTGTGCTCCACAGAGGCATCTGCGGGTCAGAAACTGAATAAACTACAGAGGAATGACCTGGACCAAGAGCCAAAGGCATTTAATTATTGAAAGACTGTGGGGAGTACACACCTGTGAGTATAACCTTGTCTCATGGAAACTTGCCTGCCTTGGGGTTAAAGCAATGAAAGTGAGAGTTAAGTCTCCAGAATCTTGCTGATGTGTCTGGGAGAAAGTGGGAGGTTAGGGCACCCCTAAAGTTCTGGCACTCAATCACCAGCATGTAGAAACACTTGGGCACTGTCTGCCCAGCTGGGCAAGCAAGGAGGGCCCAGCTTTCAAGCAGGTCCTGAGGCCTTCCCCAGCCAAGCCTTCGGTCCAAGTGAGGTGCTATCTGTCTGGCCCTGTGCAGCCTGGAGTGTAGCCAGATGCCTGATAACCAGAGAATGTTCTGTCTATTTCAGCCACTGGGTCTCAGCTCCTGCTGGGCACGGGAAGTGCTATAAAAAGCACTTCAGGACCAGCAAGGAAATCTGTTTGCTTACCCCTCCTTTCAGAGGGTCCATTTTCCCTACTGGATTTGGAAAGAATCCAGAAAGGCTGGAAGGCAGCTGGAATGAGGCCTCTTCGAGTCCCTCCCCTGATTCCTGAGAACTTCAACTGATACTGAAGGCTCCCCAGTTCCTGGACACTTTCCATTCATTCGCTCTGAGATTCCAGAGGAAGGTCACAGACACAGCAGCCCTCCCACTCGGTCTTGTTATTAGAACTTCATTGGGATTCTCCTGGTTCCCCTGTGGAGCTGACTGGCCTGATGCACCCTTTCAAAAGGGCTGCCCAGCCCCCACCCTGAACCCACCAAATCCAGGGCTATCCTATGCAGATGCCAAGTCTGCTCAGATCTCAACAAAAAAGGAGCTGGGATGGGCACAGGCTACAGAGTCCCGAGGAGTGGACGGGAGCGGGGAGGGGGTGCTGTGGGAAGCCCATGACGGGGTTCACTGGCTGCTTTGTGCTGGGCGTCTGTGCTAGCCTCACAGCCAGCCACTTGCATACTGATTTGTTGAAGCCAGTTCCTGAGTAAACTGACTCCCGATGGTTGGTGTAGGATAAAGGGAGGAAAATTAGGGAAACAATTGAAATCACTGGGAAAGAGAATCTCACTGGATTTGGGGCTTTCAAGGTTTGATTTAAGCCGTATTTCTCTTTGAGGACATCCCTGCCCCTCAGCCCCTGCCCTGCCACCTCTCCTGCTTCTTGCTAGACATCTGTCTTGACCCAGAGCACACAGGGTTGTCACAGAACCACAGCCTGCACCTCTTCCACCTCTGCAGGAAGCTGTGATAATGAGGAGGCGAGGTCCATCTGGCTGCCCCTCATACGGGCCGTGTCCTTGTCCACAGGCCAGACCCTGAGATCCCTGATGACACCTGAACTGTGTCTGCTTTTCCTAATCCCTCTTCTCCAGGGGAGTCCCCAGACCCTCCAGCTATGCTTGATACTCTTGTCTACCCCCACCACCATTCCCTGACTTGCCCATAGCCCTCCCAACTCCTGCCACCAAAGAATGGAACCCACTTGCCAAACAATGGCCAGAATGGCCAGACCCCTTAGGTTGGCAGGTATATTTCACCACTGTGGCCCAAGCCAGCCACTCTCCCCTCCCTCCCCAGCCCACTCCTCTTGCCTCCATGGCCGTCACCATCAGCTGCTTTCCACTGGCCAAAGGATGATGCTCTTCACACCCTAGCAGACACATCTTGCCAATATGCACATGGGAGGCCCACTGATGGGACCAGCCCACCCCGGCTTTCTCTGTCTGGGAAACTCCTACTGGTGCTCTGAGCCTCAGCTCCAACAGCTCCCTCTGCAGTGCTGGGCCCTTCTTCCTTGGGCTCCTGCAGTGCCACACCTGGCTTTCCCACAGCACTCATCACCCTCTACGGGGCTGACTCCTCTGCATGTTATTTCCTCCACCAGACTCTGAGCCCCTGATCTGTGGCCTCATTTGTCCATCTTGAGTGAGCACGGGATTTGGTACATAAACACTTACTGAGTACGAGTGGATGTCAGCACAGTCACTGGCAAGTTCTGAAATGTATGGCTTGGGGACACACGTCCAGAGGGAAATACTCACACACTCAGTAGCACCCCTGCTTGCCAAAGCCCAACTGTCAATGCTTTGGAGACAGTTCAGCCTGAGAGAAGGGATGGAAAGTTTGCCTTCTTGGGCCAGGGTTAAGAAAACCAGACTGGTCCCAGCTGTAAGTGCACCCCTTCTGTCTTGGGGATCAGAGGAACTGACAGACCCCTCTCCTTCAACGAAGAGGGAAAGCCCCTCAACTCCCCGTGCCAGGGCCGGCTCCCTGGTGTATGCCTGTGCAGTCACAAGGGCCCCCACTCAGAAGGGCCCACGCTTACTCTAATGCTCTGTGGTTGCTGTGTTGGAATTCTTAATGATTTTTGAACATGGACCCCATATTTTCATTTTGCACTGGGACCTACAAATGATGGAGCCAGTTCTGCCCCCGATGGCCTCCAAGGCCCTCAAGAGAGCTGCCTCTCCTGGCCTGCATGGCCTGGTGTGGCTCTTGTGAACAGAATCATGTCTGGCTCTGAAGAGCAGAGTGGCCACTGCCCTGTGCCAGCCTGTCTTCATCCACAGAAAACAAAAACCCCACAGCCCTCGCAGTGGAGTCAGGGGCCATGTGACCATGGCCCTCGGACAGCAAGACAACAACACTGGGACAGTGAGTAGAAACAAAGGGCCAGCTCGGGTCAGTTGCCTAGGACCCCTGCTGTTCCCACAGGGCTGCGGCCCATCCAATCCCACAGGAAGAGCTGTCAAAGGTGCCGGCCTGAGCAGAAGTTCCCCTCCTCTTTAGTGTCGCTTCGAATGCTCTAAAAACCACTTCAATACCTCTGAGATTTTCAGAGCATTTGAAAAATCATGTAAAATCTTTTTCAAGTTCTGGACAATTTCCCCATTTTTCTGAGGTATCCCAGCAAAAATCAAAATCTGTACACTAGGGTGTCCATCCATAAGTGGCCATGACACCACTGTATGCTTCCTAAAAGCTGTTACTCCCCAAAGTGTGTGGGAAACGCATGCACTGTGGCCTCGGAAGCAGCCCCCAACTTGGCTCCCGATGCTTGAGGCTTCTGGCACGCTTCTCAGGCCCCACTTTGAGTCTCAGTTTTTCATACATAAAATGGCGAAGGAACAGCTCCCTTATAAAGCTGCTGTAAGAGGCAGACAGCAGCAGTAATGCCCCCACCACAGTAAGGGGCACGTTGGACACGGCACATTGGATGTCCCCATTCCATGCAAACAAATACAATTTGCTCTGTAATGGGGAGGCAGTGATGAGCGAGATGACCTGGTGTGGAGGGGGAACGGCCTTGGTTTGGCTTGTGAGTTCACTGTCTCTTAGCTGGGTGAGCTGGGGCAAGTCACGCTCATCCTCAAATCCCAGGCTGCCTGTCAGCAGTGCGCGAGCGCTGGGCTCCCCACATGGTGCAGGGGGGCTCAGTCAGCGGCACTCTCCCGTGGAGGCTCCTGTTCCTCAGGATTGTACTTTGTGCTGGTAGAGTCCTTTGAAATAGGTTTGGTAGAATAGAATCGTGGGCACCAAGAAGCCGGATAAAGGTGGTGAGGGAGCTGGCTTCAGAACAGAAAGCCCTGGCTTTGAATTTTCATGTCGACACTTCAGGCTATGTACCTGTATGCTTTGTGCCTCAGTCTTCCCCATCTGTCAGCATGAAAAACAATGTCTTCCTCACAGGCAATTAGTGACCACAGACCACTCATTGTCTAGGTTGTTTCTGGTCCTTCCCAAGACTAACTGTATTCCTGCTTTCCATAAGGAACCCCAATATATTTAGAATGACTCTCCTTTTCACTTTGGGCAGCATAAAGTGGCTTCAGTTTTTTTTGCATCTGGAAAGAGTTCTGACTTTACAATCTTTCTGCTGACAAACATTAGTTCCTTTGACCTTTCTAGCTTCTAAACAATTCATCATGATAGTTGCTTGTCACTTTTCTTTTTCAAAAAAGAACCGGGCTGGGCACAGTGGCTCATGCCTGTAGTCCCAGTAGTTTGGGAGGTCGAGGCAGGAGGATCACTTGAGGCCAGGAGTTCAAAACCATTCTGGGCAACATAGCAAGACTCTGTTTCTTAAAAAACAAAACAAAACAAAAAAAACAACCACAAAGAAATTAGCTGGGCATGGTGGTGCAGGTCTGTGGTCCCAGCTACTTGGGAGGCTGAGGCGGGAGGATTGCCTGAGCCTTGGAGTTAGAGGTTACAGTCCACTATGATCAAGCCACTGTACTGCAGCCTGGTAACAAGAGCAAGACCCTGTCTCTAAAAATAAAATAAAATAAAATAAAATAAAGAACAAAATACAGAACTCCAGGTGTGAGGTTTCAAAATATCTCTATTAAACACAGCTTCAACTGGCATTACTTTTTATTCACTTATCTTTTTTGTTTGTTTGTTTTTGAGAAGGAGTCTTGTTCTGTCACCCAGGCTAGAGTGCAGTGGTGCAATCTTGGCTCACTGCAACCTCTGCCTTCCAGGTTTGAGCGATTCTCCTGCCTCAGCCTCCTGAGTAGCTGGGAATACAGGTGCACATCACCACGCCCCGCTAATTTTTGTATTTTTAGTAGAGACAGGGTTTCACCATGTTGGCCAGGTTGGTCTCGAACTCCTGACCTCAGGTGATCCACCCGTCTCAGCCTCCCAAAGTGCTGGAATTACAGGCGTGAGCCACCGTGCCCGCCTTTCTTTCTTTCCTTCCTTCCTTCCTTCTTTCTTTTTCTTTCTTCTTCCTTCCTTCCTTTCTTTTGCCCTGCCCTGCCCTGCCCTCCCTCCCTGCCCTGCCCTGCCCTTCCTTTCCGTTTCTTTCTTTCTCTCTCTCTCTCTCCTTCCTTTCCCTTCCTTTCTCCCTTTCTCTCTCTCTCTCTCTTTCTTTCTTTCTGACAGGGTCTCACTCTGTCACCCAGGCTGGAGTGCAGTGTCCCAGTCATGGCTCACTGCAGCCTCAACTTCTCACACTCCAGCGATCCTCCCACCTCAGCTTCTCAACTAGGTGGGACCACAGGTGCTCTCCACCACGCCCAGATGATTTTTGTATTTTTGGGGGAGACTGGGTTTTGCCATGTTGCCCAGGCTGGTCTCGAACTCCTGAGCTCAAGCAATTAACAAGTCTCAGTCTCCCAAAATGCTAGGATTATAGGTGTGAGTCACTGTGCCTAGCCATTACTGCCATTACTTTTTTTTTTTAAGAGACGAGGTCTCACTCTGTTATCTATGCTAGAATACAGTGGTGTGATCATAGCTCACTGCTGCCTTGAACTTCTAGGCTTAAGCCATCCTCTGGCCTCAGCCTCCTGAGCAGCTGGGACCACAGGTGTGCGCTACCATGCCCGGCTAATTTTTTATTTTCTGTAGAGATGGGGGTCTCATTTCATTGTCCAGGCTGGTTTTAAACTCCTGGCTTCAAGTGATCCTCCCGCCTTGAGTTCCCAAAGTATTGAGATTACAGGCATGAGCCACTGCGCCTGGCGGACTTTTTTTTTTTAATCACTGTTTATTTGCATTGAGCCTTTGAGCCATTATAGTCTGCCAGATGTTTTTCTTTTACTATCAAACCAAGTTTCCTATATCCTAGTAACATTCTGAACTAAAACATAAGACATTAATCTTCATGATTTCAATCCATCTCAATTTCGAAAAATATTTTTAAATCTTGGCTTTCCTGCTTTATAACATAAGCTGTTTTCTCCAGCTCTGCAGCCTTCCCACATTTGATAAGGTCTCCTATGAGTTCAACCCAAGCCAATGATAAACACAACAGACAAGAGACATTGGAACCTCAGTCAAGTCCTCCCTCTGGCTGCATTATCAACACTCTCAGAAAACATGTTCACCCAGCTACAAATCCGCATGACTGTGCTGTTGTCAACCCATATTATTAAATATTTGCCTTATTTATAAGGATGTCATTAGAAATTGTCAAGAGCCTTCCTGAAACCTGGCGTATGCTAGATTAGACAGTCCATCCCTCTCCCATCTCTTTTCCATCATACCTATTTCTCCAAGTAAAGGGTTCCTTGTTTGGGTATATTTCCCACATTATCCTTCAGCTTTCCTGACATGCTACACCAAACATTCCACCCACAGATCTATAGAATTCACTTACATGTTGTTGGGGTTTTTTGGTATTTCTGCCTCATTCCATTTTTTTTTTTTTTTTTTTTTTTTTTTGAGACTGAGTCTCACTCTGTCGCCCAGGCTGGAGTGCAGTGGCGCGATCTCGGCTCACTGCAAGCTCCGCCTCCCGGGTTCATGCCATTCTCCTGCCTCAGCCTCCCGAGTAGCTGGGACTACAGGTACCCGCCATCACTCCCAGCTAATTTTTTTTTGTATTTTTTAGTAGAGACGGGGTTTCACCGTGTTAGCCAGGATGGTCTCGATCTCCTAACTTCATGATCCACCCGCCTAGGCCTTCCAAAGTGCTGGGATTACAGGTGTAAGCCACTGCGCCTGGCCTCATTCCATTTTTTATAACTATCTCTTTAAATCCTGTCCTGTCACTGTAAAGCATTAGTGTTTTTTTTTTTAATCATCTGGATTGAGCAATCATTATAATGGATGAAAACAACATAAATACATTGCAACTTCCTACAATTATTAAAAATAAACAGTAAAATGTTATTGGAAGTACCTCTTTAATGAGATGAGGCTTTCCCCCCGATGTAAAATAATATTAATTATTGCTAAACAAGACAGGGATCCACATCAATTATATTTCTATTTTTCATTTGTAGAGATTTAAGCACAAAAAAAGTTCACATAAATAGGAAGATGGGAACAAGAGTTTTGTAACAGCAATGTCACCTTGTTCTATGAATGTCTTCTGAGTTAAAAGCCATAAATAATCATTTGTGGGCAGGCATGGTGGCTCACACCTATAATGCCAGCACTTTGGGAGGCTGCAGTGGAAGGATCCCTTGAGCCCAGAAGTTCAAGACCAGCCTGAGCAACATGGTGAAACTCCGTCTCTACTAAAAATACATAAATTAGCCAGGTGTGGTGGTGCATGCCTATAATCCCAGCTACTTGGGAGGCGGAGGCATGAGAATCGTTCGAACCTGGGAAGCGGAGGTTGCAGTGAGCCGAGATCGTGCCACGGCACTCCAGCCTGGGTGACAGAGCAAGACTCTCTCTCCAAATAAATAAATAAATAAATAAATTATCATTTGTAATGACTTATCATCAGACAGCTTGATTAGGCCTTCTTTCAATCTTGTTAAAAGCAAAAGAAACTTGGAAACAACGTGTCTTAGAAAAGGCCTTGGTAGCCAGTCATAAGAGGCTTTCATTTTCTCAACTTCCATATGATATTTTGAACTGTCCCTTTATTTGGGGGAGCGAGGCACTGCAGAAAGATTTGAGAAGGGTAAGAGGTATGTCTGTGGCTGGGCACGGTGGCTCATGCCTGTAATCCCAGCACTTTCGGAGGCCGAGGCGGGTGGATCATGAGGTCAGGAGATCGAGACCATCCTGGCTACCATGGTGAAACCCCGTCTCTACTAAAAATACAAAAAAATTAGCCGGGCTGGCGGGCGCCTGTAGTCCCAGCTACTCAGGAGGCTGAGGCAGGAGAATGGCGTGAACCCGGGAGGCAGAGCTTGCAGTGAGCCGAGATCGTGCCACTGCACTCCAGCCTGGGCGACAGAGCGAGACTTCATCTCAAAAAAAAAAAAAAAAAAAAAAAAAAAAAAAAAAAAAAAGAGGTATGTCTGTGTGTTGTGAAGTGGGTGAGGGACAAGTGTGAAGGCAGGGATGGGAGAGGATCTACAGTGGAATATGGAGAAACCCGAGGAGACCACTGCTACCAGCCACGAGACTGTCCCTGTCTCCGCAAGCTCTTTCCCTGAAGCCAGGGGGATGAGTCAGCTTATATCCGCCTTGGCCGTCATGAGTGCTATGAATGCCAAGAGGATATAGCCACCTATTTGTAAGGTCTCTATAATTTTTTTGTTTCTAACTAGATTCTTTTAAGTGTAGAAGAGAATTATCCCTCACTGGCTTTCTGTTTTCTGAGCACTGGACCTGTCAACAAAGCAAGTCAGGAATGGAGCTCATGATCTGCTTCTAGCAGCAGGACCTCCAGAAGATGTGTGGCTAGCTCTCCATCACCACTCGCGGCCTCTGTGCCCGTGTCTGTGTCTGTGTTCTTGTTGCCCACATATCCTCCTCCCTGCTCCCTCACGCAAGTCCTTGGTTTAGCGCAGAGGCACACATCTTCACACATCATTTGAATAAACTTAATCTGGACAAGGCATCTGTGTCCTCCACTGCTGTAGAGTCATCCATTCTATTTCACCAAAACAGAATGGGGGGAGTGGCTTTCTTTACATTTCACAGAACGGAAAAGTGAGGGTCAGATTATCCAAGGAACAGAGCTATTTGCAGAAGACTAGGAATGAAAGACAGGTCTCCTGGATTCCTACCTGTACTCTTTCTCCTGATTACAACTGTGTCAAGCTAAGAGGATAATGGTTTAAAACACCAAAGTCACGATGCCAACTTAAGAAAGCCTCAGGTAGCAATGCGCTGAGGGCTGTCTATTGACTGGGCTCTTTAACAAGTTCACCTGAGACTCTGAACACATCATGCAAAACAGGCTTAGGAGACTCCTCTGGGATGCTGAATTGGAAAACAGAATATAAATTCCGAAAGGACTCTTAATAAGTCACAAAAGTTATTAGAACCCAAAGACTGATGACCAATGCTAACAAGAGTTCATACAAACTTGGGGTGAGACTTACCGTGTCCCCAATCTTCAGACCCTCACACTTCCTCTGACCAGGATAGGATACCCCATCTTGGCAGGTAGCAGTAAAGAAGAGATTAAGATCCTCAGGCTGATCCCAGACTGACAACTCCACTTTAGACCGGATACTCTGAATGGAGAGAGAAAATGAAGCCCAACCATTTAATAAAGGCTGTGGCTGAGGTGCTCCCACACTGGTTTTCTGAGGCCCACGTGGCTTCCTCTAACTCAGGAATCCCAAGCCAAAGGAAGAGCCAGTGAGCTTGGTTCCCTGGCCCTCCCTCATCCTTTCCCTTCTCTCTGCACTCACACAACATCTTGCTAGACCCAGCCTGAGGTCTCCCTCTGTGAGTTTGGAGAAGTTGATAGTGGTTGACCTGCCATATGATATTATCTGCTTCAAACGGGTTATGCCCCATCCCCTGCTTGCTTCTCCAGAGCCACCTCTCATCCCCATCCTCGGCTTCAGACACGCAGTTCCTCAATCTTGCAGTGTGTACTCCAGGCTTTGAGCCTTTCCATGTGCCCAGGGCAATGATCCTTTGCACAATGGCTCCTCTCTCTCCTCCTCCTGGCTGGCTCCTTATCATCCTTCAAAATCAGCTCAGCAGGCACTTTCTCCAGGAATACACCCTGTCATTCACATCCATACCTATCCCCATCAGATGAGGTCCATATGCCTGAGTTTGAAACTACATAATGAGAGACTCCAATCTTATGTGTGGATTATATTCTTAAGACAGTGAATCAAACAAAAATCAAGTCAAAATTACCTATCAGAATAGAAAAAAAGTAAAGTTTTTTTCTATTATTTCCCAACACTAAGAACATCAAGTGTTGGGAAAGGATGTAGAGCAACTAGGGCTCCCCAACCCTGCTGGTGGGAGTGAAAATTCGTGCAATCCTATAGAAAGCCATTAGGCTATATCTACTAAAGCTTAGGCCAACCTCAGACCTAGCATTCACCCAGGATTATATCCAACAGAAGTGTATGCGTCACCAAAAAGACATGGACAAGAATGTTTACAGCAATACTGCTTGTAATAGCTAGAAACTGGAAATTCCTCAGGTGCCTAGCAAGAGTAGAATGGATTTTTTAAAATTGTAGTATGTTCATATAGTGGAATACCATACAGTAATGAGAAATAATAAAATATGACTACATGTAATAATATGGATAAATCTGACAAATATAACATTACTAGAAAGAAGGCAGAGACAAAGGCATATATATTGTATAACTCTATTTATATGAAATTCAAAAACAGGCAAAATTAATGGTTGCCCTTGAGGGATTGCGATGGAAGAGGGCAGAATAGGGACTTCTGGGCCTGGCTAATGTTCTGTGTGTTTGGCCTTGGTGCTGGATACTCAGGTTTATTTAATTTGTGAAAAGTGTGTGAAATTTTCTATACGTCTGTTAGTTTAAAAAATTGTCCTTGTGACACATGCCTGTAGCTACTCAGGGGGCTGAGGCAGGAGGATCGCTTGAGCCCAGGAGTTCAAGGCTGCAATGAGCTATGATCATGCCAGTGCACTCCAGCCTGGGAGACAGAGTGAGATTGTTTCTTAAAAAAATTAAGAATAATAATAATAATAATAATAATTTCTTTGAAAATCTCTAAGGAAGATTCCACTTTGGAGACTGAGGCCAAATGAAGTAAGTAGCTTTTATTCAGAGGTCATATTTTACCAGAAAATTTAAAACAACTGTCTGTTTATACACTCAACACAGAGTATAGCATGATGTACCCATATGAGAGACAAGGACCCCAACATCCGCAGACGGCCCTGCGGATTCCCTCTCCCTCCTCGGGTACACTCTAGGGAGTGTGGCTGTTGGAGAGAACAGCAGACAGACTTGCCTCTTGCTCTTGTGGGTTTTCTTTCTTTCTTTCTTTCTTTCTTTCTCTTTTTTGCTGAGCATATAGTGCTAAAGTTGAATAAGTGAAATATGTAGTTTTCCAGCAAATTAACAGCTTGTTGAAAATACTTTCTGTAAAAAATAGTCTCTCCCTTTGCAACAAATTATCTAAGTGCTTCTACAACTCTAAAAATATGATCCGTCTTAAATCCACTTCCCTTTGCAACTTGCCAGCCTTAACTGGCCAAGGGTCACAAAAGCGCCACTCAATACACAGAGCACTCTCCTGCTGCCTGTGATTAGCTATTTGCAGATCTGTCTTCCCTACCATGTTGTGAAGTCCAAGGGCTGTATCATAGATCTCTCTGTGACTTAGTACAATCTGTCGTTGAATGAATAAACGCATGGATGGGTAGACAGATGAATGATTTAACAGCTATGCTAAGGTCTCAGGCCAAGTAGATGAAAATATTTCTTAAGACAAATATTAAAAAATAAATTTATAACCGTGAATAAGTAGTGGAGGAAATAAAACAGTATTGTAAAAGAGCTGAAGAGTGAAGGCATGTAAAAAAATTACTTGGGAACGATAACTTGAAATATGGGGGCCCTGTCGTTCACAAATAAAACTTTGGAAGGAAACACCAGTGCTCCCCAGCAAGATCTGCCCAAGCCGCCACTCGAAAGCCCCAAGGGAGGATCTGGGAAAAAGCAAGAGGGACTTGGACTCCTACTCTGTGAGTCAGCAACTAAGAATTAGATGGAAATGGACTCTTATGTTCTACTCAGGCCATAAGCCCCATGTTCTGATATAAAGTTTGTATTATTCCTGCTACCCACAGAGTCTCTGGAATCAGAAACTCTTAAGACATTTCAGGCAGCAGGAACCGTGGAGATGATGCAGCCCAAACCTCTCATGTATGGAAGCTGGAGGTCAGGGCAAGGAAAAGGTGGCCTGGGACCACTCTGCTGCACAGGACCGGGTGCAGGCTTTCTTGACCCACCCCAGGGCTCTTTCTAATCCCCACACCTGATATGCACTTCTTTCTTTGGAAATTGGCTCTCTGTCCACAGATAAGGTAAAAAACAAAAATAAAAAAATAAAAAGGAATTTGGCTCTGTGACTTTGGAAAGAGATCATCAGGTTGTATCGTGGTTGTAAGGGTCTCTGCCCCCAAAACTATGAGTGCTGGAGGGCAGGACTGTGTTTTGCTCACTATTTTATTTCCAAGGTGCAGCATGATCCCTGTCACACATTAGGCTGTTGGTATATATCTGTTGAATAAGTGAATGGATGGAGTCAAAGTGCAGTTCTTACACATGAAGACTTTTATGTGTGACTCCTAAAATTCCATTAACTCCTACCAGATTCGCCCCTCAAGGTGCACTCCTTAGTTCTCCAGTAGGAAACAAGATGATGTTGGGAATGTCAGAAGTGTAAAGGCTATTAAATACTCGGTCAGGTTAGGTCACATCTGCAATTGCTTTAAGTCGGGCCAGCTGTGGAGTGGGTGGGAGCAGACTTTATGGCAACAACAAAAAGAGAAACATGTGCTCTGCTAGAGAAAAATACACCACAGCTTCTGAAGTCACCCTCCACATGCAGCTCCAGTGCTTTCCAACTCATTCTGTTCGCTCCCACACTGAAAAGAGGCCTTTCTGGGTGCAACATGAGGCCAGCCCCCTCTGCACGTGTGGACCCAGGGCTCCACGGCTGAGCTCAGGAGGGGATTCTCTCACCAGCACTTATTACAGAGCAAAGCACCACATTGCCAAACTCCCTTGGGAAGACTTGGTGATTTCTCACAGTGAAGAATTTGGCACAGCAAGAAAAAATGTATAAATCCAACTTGATTTCACACTCGGAGAGATGTGTACACCAGACTTGATTCTACAAGACATGAAATTAAACATACCCTTTCCATTTTGCTCCCTCCTCAGCCTGGCCAAATACCACAGCCATTGCATCTGTTACATATGTTCCAACCCAAATCTGCTCAGAATGTCCCCACAGATGGTCTGCCAGCACTCTAGGGGAGGTAAAAGCCAACACCCACACTTAGTCATGTGTTGCATGACTCATGAAATCCAACACAAACCACTCGGACGGTGAGGTGACAAAAACACAAGCGGTCTGGAGAGAGCTGTGACTGGACTCTGGCCGGATGCGGAGCAGGTGAAAGGAGAGCAGAGCTGACGAAAACCTCTCCTGCTGCCCCGGCACACCCCACATGGACCAGGGGCCCGTGCTGGGGCTCAAAGTTGGGAAAAGTCCAAGTGCAAGGAGCTTGAAGCCCAGCCCAGCCTTTCCCGTTGGCCAGGACAGGAGCAAGTAAGATGAGTACTTGGAAGGAAAAACCCAAACTGTTTTTCCTACTCTACTCTCACACACCACTCAACACAACACTTCTGACACCAGATGTGAGGATTTTTCCCCCACACACCATGCAATTCTCTACTGGACACTGGTTGGTTATCTTCTAATTCAGCACAATTCTGACACTATCTACCTGGACATAGTGTCAGGTCCCACAGGTGAAGGGCTCAGCCCACAAGACTGCCCCCACCGCAGATGCCAATCACAAGTACTAGGTTGTCATCTATACTTCCAACTGATCGGCTATAAATTCAAATTCCCATGACCCCTCTCCTTCTTTCATCAATTTGCTAGAATGGCTCACAGAACTCAGGGACACAGTTTGTTTACACTTACCCACATATGAATAAGAGATAAAGGCTGCAGATGAACAGCTAGATGAAGAGAAACAGGGCAAGGTGTGTGAGGAGGGTGCAGAACTTCCCTGTCCTCTCTGGTGCCACTCTCCAGGAACCTGTCCCACAGCTTTCCCAAGGCCCTCCAAATCCAGGCCTTCTGGGTTTTCATGGAGGCATTGTTACATGGGCATGACTGGTCACATCTCTGGCTACTGGTGATCCACTCAACCTTCAGCCCCTCTCTACCTCCCCAGAGGTCATGGAGTGGGGCTGAAAGTTCCAACCCTCTAATCACATGGCTGGTTCCCCTGGCAACCAGCCACCATCCTGAGGCTGTCCAGGAGCACCCCCCAAGAGTCACCTCATTAGAACAAAAGATGTTCCTATTACCCAGGAAACTACAATGGTCTTGGAAACTCTGTGTCGGGAACCAGCGTTAAAGACCAAATATAATAACAAAAGATTCTCCTAGTGTCCTTATCTATAAAGGTTTTAGGGGCTTTATATTAGGAACTAGGGGCAGAGACCTATATATATATCTTATCGTACCACAGTATCACAGGTTCTAATCAACACAGGAAACCAACATACCCCTGACATGGCTTTGACCAACTGAACTTGCTTCAAATATCTTGCAGTTTTACATTTCTATATTTAATATATATATTTTAAATTTCACCTGAAGGGAGGGGTGGAAGAAGGGAATTATCAAGGGTCACTTTTTGGAGTAATGAACATGTTCAGTATCTCTATGGTGGCGACGGTTTCACAGGTGTATACCTGTGCCAACACTCATATTATACACTTTAAATCAGTACAGTTTGCTGTATGTTAATTATATGTCAATAAGGCTTTACAATTCTTTTCCAATTTAAAAAAAAAAAAAAAAGAGACAGAGTCTCACTCTGTCACCCAGGCTAGAGCACAGTGATACAATCATAGCTCACTGCAGCCTTGAACTCCCGGGCTCAGGCGATCCTCCTGCCCCAGCCTCCCAAGTAGCATGCCCAGCTAATTTTCACAAAATTTTTGGTCTCGCTATGTTGACCAAGCTGATTTCAAACTCCTGGCCTCAAGTGATCCTCCCAGCTTAGCCTCCCAAAGCACCGGAATTACAGGTGTGAGCCACCACGCCTGGTCATAATCACTCATTTTTAAAAGTGCTGAGTTTCAAAGTTCATTCATAAGTCATCAGCTTCATTTCACAACATGTTTACTTACAGGAACCAGTTTAACTCGCAGAATCAAGCGACAGTGCTAGGTTCCCACAGTTCCTCTGGGAATTCGTGCCAGGTTCCAAAAGCAGCTCCAGCCCAGAACAACTGTTCCCTGTACTCACCCCTGCTCCCCACTCCCCATCAGCAGGGAGGGATCCACACTCCTCTCCTGGCCTCTGCCTACCACACAGGGAATGCTTTCCCTTGTCACTCCTTGACCCTGGGTACCTGGATTTCCACTAGGAAAATGAATGTAGATATATGAGAAATCCTGCTCAGGGCTAAGCACTTATGAGATCCCATGCATGGAACCAATAAGAAAGCCTCCTGCTCCCTGGTTTTCAGCGGTCCCAGCAGAAGCACAGACACGCAGAACCCACCAGTCACATAGAAGCTGGCTGACCAGTGTGCCTTCCCTGCTGCTGCAAGGCTGCCCAGCCAGGTCTATGGAGCTGTGCGCCATGATGCCCTCTGATATCAAAGCCGCCAGGAGCAGGGGGCCTGGGCCTTCACCAGCCAATGCTCTTGGGGAGCTCCAGAGCTCTGAATTCAGGAGGTGGCTGACAATGAAATGCTGACAAGTGGCCCCTCCGCAGAAGCCTTAAAGAGGGACCTCACCCCACTCAACAGAGCCCAGATGAGCTGCTCTTCAGCCATTTCTTCCCAAAGGCCCTGACTCAGCAGGAGGCAAGCGGTGGCCTCCCTGCCTGTGAGAGTGGGTCCAGCAGCAGTGCACCTTCTGCCCTGTGGGGTCTCCCAGCTCTGGCATCCTCAGAGGGAAGGGGAGAGTGGCAAGGCAGGGGTTCTGGCTCTTGATTTGGTTCTCTTAGTTCAGTGTCCAGAGATTGAGACCCAAGCGGCTCACAGCTCACACCAGCTCACCCCAGGAAAGAGGGTGACATTCACAGGCCTGCCCCTCCTTCCCATGCAGGCTCACATCCCAAACCCTCTCTGGGTGTCGCACTTCAGCAGACCTATTGTGCCCACATAACCAGCTTACGTGTTCCCCCTCTTCCTGAAGTGTAAAGCAAATCACTCACCGTGGAATCTGAAAGGCACTACGGTGTAAAGTTAATTAGGAAACCCTGTCTCACTGCACTCTGGGTTCTGAAGTGCCTATGGGATCTGGTGAGGCTCTAAGGGCCAGAGAACAGAAAAGAGGATGTTAGTATGTGGGCAATGGGGTAGGAGAGAAGGAAGTCTTCAGTTTCTCACAATAGGAAGTTCCAGGAGTATCTGAATCTGTGAGAGCAAGAGGACCCTTGGCTACAACAGGAGATGGGAGCAGTGGGAAGGGGGAAGAAAGGGGGTAAAAACAAGCCAAAAATCCTCACTGCTGCCCACCCGGTTGCCTTCAGGACACTGAGGCTCCAGGGAACTAAGCGCAGGGCTGGCTACACCCCAAGCCCCAGGGTTCCCCCTAGCTGGGCAGTACTTTGCAACTCAAAACAGGGCCACATTGGAAGATGGACAAGGCCAACATTGGGAAAGGCCCAGCTCCAAACACTCATTTGTAATCAGTCACTGCTGGGAAGGCAAGATGACTTTTCTCACAGATGTGTGATGCCGTACTGATTCGTTAGGTTCCCAGGTTAGCCAGAAAAACCTGTTTTACCTAAGTTTAGGATTAATAATGTTACTTAAGCCACACTTAGTCTGTGTATAACTTAGTTTTAACAGGAAGATGCACTCTGAATGCCAATTTAGAAATTACCTGGCGCCTTGAGCAGGTGGGTAGGCAATGGATGCCATAACCATCTTGGGACCCACAAGAGAAGGGATAGCAGAAGGTCCACACTTCCCAACACAAGAGCTCTGCCTGCCGTTTGCCTGACAGAAGGTAGGTCTGAGTCAAGTACTTTTGGGGTGTTATGAATCGAGGGAAAGGAGGGTAGGAAAGAGAAAGGCTTGGGAGGTGAGTCTGTGGATGCGTGGCTTGGAATGTGAAAGTGATTCCTAAACCACCTCTATAAGAACTTACACTTATTATATTAGGGCCAATTTCACATGATATGTTACAATAGCACAGAATTTAATAGCCCCATTCACGAACCCTCTGAAAGGACTTCATTACAATCACATCTTAAGTAGGTAGGCAAAAACATTGATTCTTTGGCCAGGCATGATGGCTCATGCCTGTAAAGCCAGCACTTTGGGAAGCTGAGGTGGGAGGACTGCTTCCAGGAGTTCAAGATCAGACCAACCAGGGCAACATAGTGAGACCTCATCTCTCTATATATATTTTTAAATTAAAAACAAAAATAAAAAAATGGATTGTCGATTCTCCCATGTTAGTCTGCAGCTCTACCCTGAGCTCCATGAGCCTGAGGGATTCCCGCCCTGCCACTGTGAGGTGAGCTCAGCATGCGAACTTTTCACTTCTTGCAGTGTGGTCCTGTGGCTGGTGGATGCTCTGCTCCCTCAGGCAGAGAATACGGTGGCAGCGTTAGCCTGGGCACTGGGTAGGTGGAGAATACCACTGCCTGCCTATGCGAGGTGTCAGAACCTAAGCACTTCCCAGGCCACCAGCCTGAGTCTGAGCCACTCCTTGGCTCACTGAGATCTGCAGATGAGAGTCAAGATGGCAGAGGTGAGAGGGAGACTCATCAAGCAAGGATGGGTTTCTCCACCCTGACCCTGAGTGAAGCAGGAAGAAGATACCAAACTCAAGGGGATGGGGGAGCAGAGCCAAGAAGAGCAGCACGGAGAACTGCCCACCTGAGCCCGCGGCAGCTGCAGGGCCTCAGTGGGAGAGGGTGGAAGGGAGGTGGCAGTGGGGGAAGAAACTGATGACTTACATTGTATGCATTAATAATCAGTTGAATAATATTTTTGGAGTCTCCATCTAAAATCTCCACCGTTGTTCCAGGTATCAGGGCTGTAAAATTCTTGGGAAAAAAAGTAAAGAAAAGAAATAAGTTCATTTTGCCCTGCCAACCATCAGAGTGAGCATTGCTATACTGGGCTAGAACAGTAAAGGCTCCTAGAACCATATCCTGCCACCTTCTCCCACCATGAACTAAAGAAGATCCCACAGGGAAAAGCAAGAAGAAATGGCACAGAAGAAGAGTTGCTACAGTACGCCGTGGAATATCCAGCCCTATAGATCCATAGGAAAGGGGCTCACAAGATCTTTCTCTAAAAGATAATGTCTTGAGACCCCGCCCCTCCCACGGTAACAGACAGCTCTGTAAAAGCCCATCTTCTAAGGTCGACAGCTCCTGACAGTTTCTTGCCATTTCTCCCCCGGTCTCTGAGGTATTCACAGGTTCAGCTTTCAGGATCTGCTCAATCTGTTCAGAAGGCGTGAAAAGGGCAACTTTTCCAAGGGTCTCAAGTATAGACCCTTTCTTTAATAGGAAGCTGAGAGAACGAATGGCGCCCTCCCACGGACCTCTGAGGTCCTGTGGCAAAGGGGCAGCCTTGAAGTACCCACCTTTCCTCTTTCATCTGTACTAACTCCTGAGTCTTCCACTTCTAACAGTGACAGAGACATCTCCCACCCTCTGCCTGCCTTGGGACTGGATGGGCTTCCTCCCCCAAGCAAGGTGTATTTAGCTCTGAGGAAGGATGCTTAAGCCAGTATGGACTTCTTCCCTCTGGAAATATCTGGAAACCCAATACAGTCTGTGCAATTGAGCCCTCTAAAAACATAAAACGTTATTTGTAAGTGCATAGGCTTTTTTTTTTTTTTTTTTTTTTTTTTTTTGCGACAGAATCTCACTCTGTCCCCCAGGCTGGAGTGCAATTGTGCAATCTTGGTTCACGGCAACCTCTGCCCCCTGGGTTCAAGAGATTCTCCTGCCTCAGCCTCCCCGGTAGCTGGGATTGTAGGCACACACCACCACGCCCTGAATAGGCTTTATCCTGCTATCTTCCACTAAACAAAAAAAGAAAAACAATCCTTTTCCCTTGTTTCATCTTCTAACATTGATTTGAACTAAAGGAGGATAAAGAACTCAAGAAAATATAAGTGGCATTTTATCAGTGATAATCTCAGGCAGGAGCAATAGAAAAACACAATCAGACAAAGGTTCTTTTGTGGACATTCAAGAGCAAGAAGGAGAGGGAACTATGGCCAGCTGTTCTGGGGGTGGAGGGTGGAGAGGGATTCCAGATTAAGTTCTCATTGCTTCATCACGTAAAAGAATCTCAGAGACGAGTTTACATTTAGCTTACATGAGCACACCGAGGAGATCTGTAATTCAAACTTGGCTCATCTGTGATTGTGAGAAGGAGCACGTTCATGTGGGGAGTTTTTGAAGATGGTCCAGGGTGACCCAGGAACAGTTTCTTTAGACGGAACAGATCCATACCCAGACTGCTCTATTCACTCAGGACACTTATTGGTTTCTTTGGGAATTCCTGCCCCAGACTAAATGCGGCAGTCCAGGGTGACCCAGGAACAGTTTCTTTAAATGGAACAGATCCATATGCAGACTGCTGTATTCACTCAGGACATTTATTGGTTTCTTTGGGAATTTCTGCGCCAGACTAGCCCACTGGTCTCCTATAGTCTGCAGGCTCAGGCATAAAGCTCTGGAATACAGAGATTAGTGACGTAGCCTGATGAGATGCCTTACTTTTCTTTGTGTGTATCTTCATTTCATTTTATATTTTCCTTCTCTAGTAGAGTGTGCCTCTCTGTTTCCAATTCATCACCCAAAAAAATGGGAATTCATGCTATTTTCAAGGTTTTTCTCAGAATCAAATTAGATACTATATGTTCAAATTTCTTGTAAGGTATTCACTGCTATGCGAATGCTTAATTGTTTCCTCCTATTATTTTCCATTAGATCAAGACTGGGCTATATTCCACCCCTCCTTTGAATTTCCCCCAGATAGGCAGAGTTGTAAACACTCCTCACCACCCACTTCACCCCACAAATCACTAGCCTCCCTCCCTCCCAGCATACCTTGTACAGCATATAATGGTTTTTTGTCACTGCAAAGATGAGGTTGATGTTGTTCTCTGCCAATTTCTCTCCAAGCAAGGCAAGGGATGGATAGTCCTAGGGCCAAGGCAAAAGTCAAGGCTATGACATTCCTAACAGGTGTAGATACCAGCACCTGGCTCCAATGCACAGTCAGCAGCCAGCATTTGCCAGGGAAGCACCTTTTCCTTAGGTGGCCCCTTAGAGTCCCTTAATAACTAAGCCTTCTTGGTAGCTCCTGAACTAAGGAACTGAGTAGAGGAGACCCTCAAGGAAAGGACCCTCTGGCATTCACCAAACTAGATTCACTCCTCTCACCCCAGAGTGGAGAGGTGATGAGTGGAGGTTTTCCATATCTTGTCTGTGTCTCCATCCTTTCAGCAGGGAGGGGGACTAGTGGGGACGCCCTAGAGAACAGCCACCACATCCTACCCTCTGTCATCAGTGCCTCTTACCTGTCCTCTCTCCTCTAAGACTTTTCCTCCCTGCCTCCTTGCCCTATTTTCCTTCTCCTATGCCTAAAGCTTAGGTCTGCCAACATCCCCCACAGGTCCTGCTTCATCCTGCTTGTGGCTCAGACGGGCAGAGGAGGGTGCCGAGCTCTGGACTAAAAGTTGGGCCATGGGGCAGGGGTGCAGAAAGAGGAAGAAGAGAGGAAGCTAAGAGGCAGTTTAACAGTGTCCTGAGGGATTTTGAGGACTAATGATGGGTACAGGGGCCCGCATCTGGTGAGGTCCTACAGTTATAGTCCTTTTTTCAGATTCCATTATTCTTAAACAAGATGGAAGGCTTGGGCACTGACCACCTCTTGAAACTGGAGAAAATGGGCTTCTCTAAGGAAGAAAATTGGGAAGAATTCCTCTTTGGCCACCAGAATGGATTTGAGAAAGAAAAGGATGCAGATTTTGGCAGGAAAATTGCACAGTGAGTATGCAAGATCTTGATCATTGTTGGGTCTGGGTGATGGGCATGTAGGGTTCATTTTACTGGTCTATTATTATATATCTTTGAAATTTTGCACAAATTCTTTCAAATTGCATAGTTGTGGTTATAGACTGTTGGGAGTAGATGGTCCTTGGGACCTCTCATTCCATGCAGAACACTTCTGCCCACCACCACTAACACTGACAGGCAACTCACCACCTCTGGGAGCCCACGTCTAGAAGTCAGGAAGTCCTGCCCCATAACTTCTATACCAGTTGTGACTTCTGCAGGGGCACAGCACCCACCCTCCTTTAAGACACCCTCCCCACTATGAGATCTATCCTGTTTCCCCTGGGCCACCCGTATCCCAACCAAACACTTCCCATTTAGACGCACATTGACAGAAAGATGAACCAGCTACAGAAATCCCTGAGAAATGTTGTAAGTCAATTAGGAGTTCCGGAAACCCAGTTGGAGAAGACTGAATAATGAAACCCAACCCCAAGAAGGGATCAGAAAGCCAGTGAATACTGAGGGCCAGAGGAAGGTTTCAAGGCTGGGCAAGTACTAAGACCACGGGCAGGGTCACAAGAGAGGCAACAGGGAGGGGGGATCTGGTTCCCGGCACTCACCATCTGGTTGGATGCAGTGTACTCGTTGGCCTCGTTCAGGTGGCACTGGCCATCGTGTGGCTGCACCAGGCCTCCCAATTTTCCATCCAATGCGATGTGGGGCACATCATCTGTTGTGAACACCAGCAAATGCAGTGCATCCTTTCGCCAGCCAATCTTCTCCTGAAGGACAGAAGGTGGATGGGTACACCAGTCTTTCTGCCCAGTCCTGCCCTGGTCATGCAGGGCACTGGCCCCTCTCCAGGAGTCACGGCCTGAATCAGAGGCATTCCCCTTGCCATGTGTACCTGGGGCACACTCACAAAACCACTGGGGAGGGATTCCACAGAGGCTCCGAAGAGACGCAGCCTGGACTGGGGAAGCCCAGATGCACACAGACAAATGTCCAAGTCTTTGCCCACTTTGGCCAATGCACCTGAAACCCCCTCCCTCCAGCTCATCATACTCTTCTCTGCTCCTTTCACTGATGACCCCTGAGAGCTGCTCCTCCTGGATGCTTCCCCTTTTGGCCTCAGCTATTCTTCCTTCCCCAGAACAACTTTTAACCTTTCCCCCAACAACATCCCCTGGTTGGCTGGGCTAGCTAGTCTAAGATGATGGTTAAGATTGTTAAGTCCCCCCATTAGACCTGAGTCAATCAGAACAGAGCACTCAAATGACCAATAGATGGGTCTGTCTTTTGAGGGTTTGTAAAACCTGCCGTCTATTCTGGTAGATATAAACCATTCCAATTGTTATTTGAGCCACATTGGTAGTTAAAGTCAATCAGATCCCTTTTCTCCCTTTCTGCTCCACTATCTGAAATTTATCCAGAATTCAGATGGAGGCACAGCTGAATACAGTCTGTATTGGAAAGGAAGGACTCTACATTTTTCATACTCTGCCACTGTGGTGCCAACTCTACACAAAAACACTCCCAGTCATCATTTTTAGGAGCAGCTAGACCTTGATACAGAGCAAGAAACACTGGGATATGGTCGCCTTCATAGTAATGGTGAACGGGCATCCCCAAATGCGTCGGTAGCAGCATGAATAAATGAAGGATTTAAACACTGCTGAGAGTCTTCTATACCTGCACACTTGCTACTGAAATAGGAGACTGGATTCACAGACCTTACAGGTTAAAAGCTATTGCTCTCTTACGACAGATGAAGAGTAGAGGGTATCATCCTCTCTTACTTATCATCATAATGGTGGATAAAACAGCCAAAAGAGCTATGATATTTTCTCACTTGCTCCAGAGGCGGCATGGAAATAAAAAATAAATAAATCACAAAAGAGCCCGCCAACATGAGGAGGAAAAGAAGTTTGAAAAGAAGCCAGTGAGGACTGACAGCCAGGAGACCTACAGTGAACAAAGGGATTAGCCTTTTGGAGAATCAGTTTCCTAGACACTCAATATTCATCCAGCATTCAATCACTGATCTCTTACTGCATGCCAGGCCCCACAGAAGGCACTGGGTCCACAGAAAAGCTAGTTCCAGACCTCAAAGAGCTTATAGTCAAATGGAAACAGCAACTTCAATACACCATGACAGGAGTGTTAATGAAGGAAAGTCCAATGCTAATGGAAGCCAGGGAGAGGAGGAGGAGGGAGAGGCTTCCCAGCGCAGACGAAACTTAAACTGAGCTGGAAAAAATGAGGAGGACACTTCAAGGAAGCTGAAAGAGGGTGGGATGGCTCACACCTAGAATCCCAACACTTTGGGAGGCTGAGGTGAGAGGACGGCATGAGGCCAGGAGTTCAAGACCAGCCTAGGCAACATAGGGAGACCCCATCTCTACAAAAAATATTAAAAAATTAGCCAGCCATGGAGATGTGCACCTGTCATCCCAACTATTCAGGTGGCCAAGGCAGGAGGATCACTTGAGCCCAGGAGTTTGAGACTGCAGTGAGCTATGATCATGCCACTGTGCTCCAGCCTGGGCAACAGAGCAAGATCCTGTCTGTAAAAAAATAAATAAATAAAAATAAAAACAAATAATTTTAAAAAAATTAAAGGAAGCTGAAAGAAGGAATAAGAAGGGAGAAGGCAGAAGAGGAAGTGGGCATTCTAGGCGCTAACAGAAGCTCAGAGGGGAAAGGAGCACAGTGAAGAGGCCAGACACATTTTAGGAACCTGGAGTGAGAAGCCTAGAAGGTCCCTTACTGCAATGAAATGCTAAGCCATAACAAAACTACTTATGGGTAGGAGTTGGAATAGTGGTTCTCCTTGCTGTCAGGATTGGAAGGGGTCACAAAGAGGCTTTCAAGGTGCTGGTGATGTTCTGTTTCTTGACCTTATGAGCATTTATCGAGATGTATAGTATATATATAAACTATATATAAATATATATAAACTATATATATAACTATAGTTTTTGATGTGTACATTTTGATAAAGAGTTAAAACCTATTAAATAAATAAGGCAATGCATTATAAGCCATGGATTGTGGAAAAGAGGGAGCCAGATGCTTGGGAAATAAAATACAATAGAGAGAAAGTATAAACTAGTAGAGTTTTTTGCAGGAAACATGTGAATCTGTTATCCAAAAGGGCACAGCCATGTGCTCAACACCCTAGCAAGGAAGCAGAAAACCAACTTTTAATTTGACAAATTGTATTAAGAACCTTAAGGAAAATCAGAAACCTAAATAAATGGACAGAGATATCATTTCAGGATTGGAAGAGCCGATGGTGTTGAGACGCCATCTCTCTGCAAATTGGTTTATAGATTTGACACAATCACAATCAAAAGCCTAGAAGGCCTTTTTGAGAAAATGACAAGCTGATTATAATATTTATATGAAATTGTAAGCAATGGAAACTAGCAAAACAATTTTGAAAAAGAACAAAGTTGGAGGACTTCGTATCTTAGGTCAAGACTTATTACAAAGCTACAGTAATCAAGGCTATGGTCATGACAAAATATATGCAATGACAGAATGCATAGATCAGTGGACTGGGATAGATAGAGCAAAAATAGATCCACACATATCTAGTCAATTCAGCAGCAAATACTGGAACTGGATATTCATATGCAAAAAAAATGAAGTTCAACCCATATGTCTCATCACACACAAAAATTAACTCAAAGTGGATCATTGACCTAAACGTAGACCTAAAGCTATAAAACTTCTGAAGGAAACCTAGGAGAAAATCTTTGTGACTGTGACATAGGCAAAGATTTCTTAGATAAGATGATTCATAGGATAAAAAGTTGATGAACTGGGCTTCATCAAAACAAAAACTTATTTGTTCAAAACCTTCTTTGAAAAATACTGTGGAGAAAATGAAATGACAGGGCACAGACTGGGAGAAAATATTTGAAAAAATTAAAATCTGATAAAGGATTTGTTTACAGAATATATAAAGAACTGTCATTAGTCACTAAGAAAAAACCCAAACAACTGAATTTAAAAAGTGGTCAAAAGATTTGCACAGACAATTCACCAAAGAAGAGATATGGGTGGAAACAAGCACACAAAAGGGTTCTCAACATCATTAGTCATTAAGGAAATGCAAATTTGAACCACAGCGAGATAGCCATTAGATCCGTATTTGAATAGCAAACCAACAAACAAACTCTGACAGTATCAAGTGCTGATAAAAATGTGGAACGAGGCCTGGCGCGGTGGCTCATGCCTGTAATCCCAGCACTTTGGGAGGCCGAGGTGGGTGGATCACGAGGTCAGAAGATCGAGACCATCCTGGCTAACACGGTGAAACCCCGTCTCTACTAAAATACAAAAAATTAGCTGGGCGTGGTGGTGGGTGCCTGTAATCCCAGCTACTCGGGAGGCTAAGGCAGGAGAATGGCGTGAACCTGGGAGGCACAGTTTGCAGTGAGCCAAGATCATGCCACTGCACTCCAGCCTGGGCAACAGAGCGAGACTCCGTCTCAAAAAAAAAAAAAAAAAAAGTGGAAAGATTAGAACTCTCATAATTGCCTAAGAGAATACAAAATGTTTCACCAACTCTGGAAAACAGTTTGACAGATTCTTACAAAGTTACATATACACTTACTATCAATCCAGCAATTCCACTCTTTGGTATTTACCCAAAAGAAATTAAACTTTATGCTCAAATAAAAACCTATATGCAAGTATTTATAAAAATGTTATTTGCAATCATCATAAACTAGAAACAACCCAAATGTCCATCAGTAATCAACAGACACATCATAATACATCCATACAATTAAATACTACACTGCAATAAAAAGGAACAAACTACTGATAACACACCACAACATGGATGAATCTCAAAGCATTACGTTAAGGGCAAAAAGCCAGACTCAAAAGGCTAATTCCATTCATATGGTATCCAGAAAAAGAAAAAAATACAGGTACAGAAAACAGATCAGTAGTCGCCAAAGTGGCTTAGGGTCATGGGAGGAGATGGATGACAAAGGCATGCTGGGAAACTTTCCGGGGTGATGGAAATAATCCATATCTCAATTGTGGGGGTGGCTATAAGACTTTATACCTAAAAAGGGTCAATTTTACTCTGTGTAAATTATCCTTGACTCAGTGATTCTACTTCAGGGGAATCTATCCACAAGAAGTATTCTGAAATATATGCAACAGTATTTTTATTAATAGTGAGAAAAAGGGAAAGGCATGAATATCCTACTGTGCTGGAAAAGGTAAATAAACTCAGATATCTCCTCTACAGCCATCAGAAATTATTCATAGAAAGGATAAAATTATATGTAAATATCTACAATATAAGATGAAAACAAAGAATTCAGCACTATAGTTATAGTGTGATTACAAACTACTTAAGAAACAAGCATAACTCTCCATTAAGAGAACAAAATACCCCATAATGTGGTTGTGGTTGGGACTGGGGTTAAAGTTATAGACAATTTTTTGTTTTCCCATTATTTTCCAAGTTGTCTTTAATAGGCGGGCACAACTTCTGCAAAACTGGGCTCTGAATGTGGCTCTGTCATTTAACTTCTTCAGTCTCCAGTTCCTCCACGCCAGCTTCTTGAGGGTCTTGTGGGGACACAAAGTGGGGTGGCAGTAAGAAGACAGAACAATGTGGAATTCGGGTGCCTTCTGATGAGCATGTGAATTTTCTTGCTGCCCCTACTTACCTGTGCAGTTTCAGCCAACTATTCAACACCTCAAAAGCTTTTTTCTTATCAGTAGAACAGGAATAATAATATAAAACATGTATTGTGCACTTCCATTATTCCACTTAATCTTCACTGCAACCTTTGTGACATAGGTAATATATTGCAATCTCATAGGTAAGGAAACTGGTGTTCAGAGAGATGAAGTGACCAGCCCATCAACTAGCAAGGGCCAGAGAAGCCAGATTCAGATGACCAAACTCTTGCCCACATTCGTATACAGAGAAGAACTGTGCATGTAATAAATGGGATAATTCATAAACGTGCCTGGTTCATGATGGGCTCTCAACTTGTGGCTGCTGGATCCAAAATAAATGTTTGTTGAATGGAAGGTTGCATCTAAAATGGAAATAGCTCCACAAGTGAAGGATGGCTCAGCATAAGAATAATAATTCTGTTTTCTGTGAAGTGGGCTCTTGTTATGTAAATGGTGTTAACAAACTTGGCCCAGAGGTTGGGCTGCTGCGAATGAGTCAGGACATGCTCGTTCATCACCCAGGCTTTCAGGCTTGGAGGCTTTACAAGTGGTGACTCCACAGAGTATTTACATTAAAAATAATTTCCCTTATTGTTGGGTTGGCTGGCAGAGCTAGCTGTTTTGAAGGCTTGAGTTCTGTATTCCACGTTTGGGGAAGGAAGCAAAAGTGGGAAAGTGGATTGAAACACAAAACAACAAAACAAAACAAAAAAAAACAATGAACTACAAATGGAATATAGCATGAGGGCCAGAGTACATCAGCTTTGGAACAGATTCTGAGGTCAAATCTTTGCTCTGTTCTAACTGTGGGCCCCTCAGTCAGTCACTTCACCTCCTCAGCCTCAGTTCTTCATCTGTAAAATGGAAATAAGCCTGCTTTGCAGAGCTGCTGCTAGGTTTAGACAGGATGTATTAAAAAGTATTATAGTTAACACACAAAAGGGACTATAAAGGGAACTTGTAATTATTATTCCAGGACCAGTAATAATTTTTACATTTCTTCTCTTCTCCTTTTACTAATTGATATGTGAAGCTATATAACTGTTACAGGGAATATAAATTATTGCATGCTAAACAATTTAAAAGCCTTGTATTAATTCAAAACTACAATAAGATCCTACCACATGCCTTTACAGTATCTAAAATTTAAGACTGACCACATCAAATGTTGATAAAGATATGTAGAGACCGGAACCCTCACGCCCTGCTGGTAGGAATGTAAAATGATAAATGTTCTTTGTGTCAGGCCTCTGAGCCCAAGCTAAGCCATCGTATCCCCTGTGACCTGCACGTATACATCCAGATGGCCCGCAGCAAGTGAAGAATCACAAAAGAAGTGAAAATGGCCTGTTCCTGCCTGAACTGATGACATTCCACCACAAAAGTGAAAATGGCCGGTCCCTGCCTTAACTGATGACATTACCTTGTGAAATTCCTTCTCCTCGCTCATCCTGGCTCAAAAGCTCCCCCACTGAGCACCTTGTGACCCCCACCCCTGCCAGCCAGAGAACAACCCCCTTTGACTGTAATTTTCCACTACCTACCCAAATCTTATAAAACAGCACCCCCCCAACGCCCCCGCCGCCAGCTCCCTTCGCTGACTCTCTTTTCAGACTCAGCCTGCCTGCACCCAGGTGATTAAAAAGCTTTATTGTTCGCGCAAAGCCTGTTTGGTGGTCTCTTCACAGGGACGTGCGTGAAACTTTGGAAAACAGTTTGGCAGTTTCTTAAAAAGTTAAAGACCTACCATATGACCCAACCATCCCACTCCTGGGTACTGACCCAAGGGAAATGAAAGCATACGTCCATACAAAGACATGAACATGAACATTTACAGCAGCTCTCTCATAACAGGCAAAAACTAATGTCCATTAACAGATGAATGGATACATAAACTGTTGCATATCTATGCGATGGAATACTACTCAGCAACAAAAGGAATGAATGGATACACTAACGGCGTGAATGAATCTCAAAATAACTGCTAAGGGAAATAAGGCAGGCAAAAAAAGAGTGTATACTAGGCATATGAAATTTGAGTAAATGCAGTCTAGTGTGTAGTGACAGAAAGCAAATTCATTGCCTGGGGTAAGGGAGGCAGGAGGGAGAAGAGGAAGAAATGATGATAAAGGGGCACAAATACACTTTTAGGGGTGAAGGATATGTTTGTTACCTTGATCGCAGAGTTGCTTTCGTGAGTGTACATAAATGTCAAAATTTGTTAAACTGTACACTTTCAATATGTGTAGCTCATTGTACATCAATTATACTTCGATGCTCAGGCTGGTCTTGAACTCCTAGGCTCAAGCCATCGCAGTGCTGGCCTCCCAAAGTGCTGGGATTACACGCATGCGCCACCACACTGGGCCCAAATACTTTTTTATTTAATAGCAGTATTCACACAGAATTTAGGTGCATGGGCTCAGGTATCTGGCTAATCTGATTTCGGTCCCATGTCTCCCTTATCTTGTTTTTGTGATCTTAGACAACTTACTTAATCTTTCCCTATCTCAGCTTCCTTGTTTATAAGAGGGAGGTAATAATAGTATTGATAAAATAGGGTTGTTGAGAGAATTAAAGAAGATGATACACATTGAGCACCCCATTCAGTATCTGGTATGGGATCAATAGTAATTAATAGTTATCATCATAGTATTTCCACGGAGTTGAAAAACTGTCACTTATATCTATAATTCAGAAAAACATCATCTTATCTTTATATTAATAGAATTATGGGTGATGCTTATTTCCTTTCTGCTTATCTACATTTTCTAATTTTTTATGTTGAATATATTCTCTTTTTATAAATAGTTTTTAAAAGAAGGAGAAGACCTATTTATTTAGCTGAACTTTTCTCTATGTCTTTAAGTAAAGCCAAAATGTAAACAAAACCAATTTCGCTAAACATGACAGAGGTCAGCCTCAGATGAAAGCGTTAGGAGCGCGTGGGGCGGAAACGCACTGGACGCAGATGCATGAAGCCAGGCATCCGGTCAGGGCTGCGAGTCCTGTCACTTTTCTTTGTTCACTGTCAAATTCACCACGAGGTCTATTTCCAACTCCTGCTTCCACACTCATGCGAGGGAACGACCTCACTTGTTTCGTCACCCACAGAGATAGGTAAAAGGACTTCTCCCTTCACCTATTCCCAGGATCTCACAGTTCTGGTCCTAGGCCCTAGGATGCCTTTCAGCCAGTGCTCTCCTCTCCGTCTGAAACAAACTGGCATGTCCTCCCAGCCTCGCTCTGATCTCACCATCCCAAGGGAAGAAGTGCTCCTCCCTCCTTGAGGAAACACAGCCCTGCAAACCCCACCCTCTTTGGAGAATTTATTCCATTGTCACTGTCTCCTCTGGTCCCTTCCATGTGCCTACAAATATGTTCATGGCCCACTAATAACAAGCCTTCTCTTCACCCTGCGACGCCACCAAACTCTCATCACTCGCCTCTCTCTTTTAAGACCAGCAGACCTATTTCCTCCTCTCAGTTCCTTAAAATCTGACCTCACTCTCAGTCATCCATGAAAAGGGGAAGCAGGAATGAGATGGAAGACCAGCCCTTCCCAGTCACTGAGAAAATTAACAAAAATGGACTCCTCCCAGGAGTGAAGACAGACTCGCTGGCTTGTTCACTTCCAACATCTGGCCCCAGAGAACAGGGACTGGCAGAGAGAGAAACAAATGGTTAGGGAGTAAAGGACCTGGTTTCACTAGTTTGAGGACGCAAGCTTCCAGCCTGTGGAGCAATTTGGCTTCTTAAGGCTGAAAGGAGTCACACTCTGGCTACAGGTCTGACAAAAAAGGAAGCTCACACAGAGAACCAAGAACAGCTTCCATCCTTCTCTGCCCCACCCTCCACAGTTTTTCCCTGGTCTCGGTCCCACCTGACTTTCACCCATATGGTAAGGTGGCTCCATGGGAAGCCAACAGGAGCCAGGAAGAAGTCAGCTCAAAGTCAGCTGCACTTGGCAAATAAAATGAACATGTATAGCAGAGTTCATGGTCACTGTGGCCAAATACAGGGGCAGCTTAGAGGGTGCACTGCTGAGAACCAGAGAAGACAGGCTCCAAGGGGCTACAACAGGACAAAAGCACCAATGGATGACTGTGTAGAAAAACAGAGAAAACATGTAGCACCTGAATTCTGGAAGGAACCTCAGAGGTTCTTGTACAGCCTCCCATCCAGTGCAGGGATCTTTCCTCCAGCATCTGCCACCTGGGTATGGGGCCCACACACATACTCACTGCCACACTGCTAAGCAGCTCTCCTTGATAGAAAATTCTTCCTTGGCCGGGCACGGTGGCTCATGCCTGTAATCCTAGCCCTTTGGGAGGCCAAGGCAGATGCATTACCTGAGGTCAGGAGTTTGAGACCGGCCTGGCCAACATGATGAAATCCCGTCTCTACTAAAAACACAAAAGTTAGCCAGGCGTGGTGGCACGTGCCTGTAATCCTAGCTACTTGGGAGGCTGAGGCAAGAGAATTGCTTGAACCCAGGAGGCAGAGGTTGCAGTGAGCTGAGATCACACCACTGAACTCCAGCCTGGGTGACAGAGCACAACTCCATCTCAAACGAACAACAACAACAACAACAAAAAAACAAGAAAATTCTTCCTTACATTGGACTCCAACCTGCTTTCCTGTGGCTACCCTAGTACATCCCCTGGAATAGCCAAAAGGGTCTATTCCCTCTTTTATAATGATATCTGAGGTCAGTTACCATGCTACTTCCTATGGTGTCTCTCCTCTGAGGATGTGGTTCCCATGCCCGGCACCACCCACTTATCCCCTCTGCTCTCTCGCTGTCAATGTCTGTCTTAAACACAGCTCCCAGAGGCAGGCCAGGCATGGTTCCCTGGATGTGGTCTGACCTGCACAGAGGAACTAGGCTGGAAAAGTGGCCTGTGGGCTCTGAATTGGACCTGGAGCATGAGGCCTGTGTTTGGCAGCTGAATCTTCCTACTGGCTCATGTTAAGCCTGGGGATCCCCAGGTCCATTTCATAGTAACTTATTTACGCAAATGGACAATGGCAGAGCATGACAAGTGAGACAGGCAGATTCAAGGACGCCCCGTGGGAAGGTGCAGGGGAAGGCCCAGACCACCAATTCTTGGGAATCTGAGGAAAGCCAACGTCCCACTCAGCTGTCGGAAAACACAAGTGGGGCCTGCCTGAACATGGGCTGGCTCACTGAGCTTGGCTTGCTAGTTCAAACACAAGGGAGTTCTGGAATAAAGATGCCATCCCAGAGACTGTAGCTTTAAATTTCTAGGTTCTCTGATCCCGAGGTCAATCTGCCTAATTAAAATTAACAATTGTCCAAATGAAGAGGCCCTCAAGACTGTTATCAACGCAGCCCAGGGGCCCCAGTTATCACAGAAGAGTCACCAGGCACATGTACTCTCTCTGCTGGAAAAGATCCACCACGTGAAAAGCAGCATTGTGCCTCAGTGCTATCTGAGCAAGCCCAAGGGAGAAGAGCCGATGGGTCTGAGACACCCTCCAAATTAGGAATGAGAAGGCAGATATCAGAGTTTCCATTTTACAGACAGGGAAGCCAGAGGCAAAGATAAGCATTTCACATATCCATCAGCATGCTAACCTTGGGACAGTACCAGTGGCCTCCCTGGAAAATCCTGAGGGCTGATAGAGTCACATGATAACTGTTTCTGATAGAGAGGAAACTCTTAGCTCCAGAAAAGAGTGGCACATGCAACTTTCTTCCCCTGGGACTGTTTCAGTACCATTCTACAGTTGGCAAACTGGGTCATGTGGGTAATTGTGATGGTTCCATAGACTGGGACTGTGCTCTCTTTGGAAGCACACTCTTCCCACTTCTGTGTTCCTGTGTGACTTCAAAAGATGGCAGATACTCTAATGTCAAGGTTAAGCCATACCAGCAGGTAGATAAGGTTTCCAATTCTGGTGCTGCCTTTTGTGGCTGTAAAACTTTGGGGAAGTTACTTCACCTTTCTAGGCTTGTTTCCTCATCAAAGGAGATAGTAAAGCCACCTTCAAAGGAGTATGTGAAAGAAACCCTGTTAAATGCCTGGTACAGAGCCTGGCTCTCAAAAGCACTCAGCCAGTGGTGATCAACAGCATCATTAGCACCAGCACCTCACCAGGAAGCAAGAGACCAGGATGACCCCTTGAGAGAGAAGAATACTCTAACTGAACCACGGGTCTGAAGGAGCCAGTCCTTCCACAGAGTCTGTTCTCTGGCTGTGCCTTAGATCCTACACATACATCAGTCCTACAACTAGAGTGATGCTCATGGAGACAGGCATCACGGCTACTTCAACTCTGCATTCCCCACAGCACCTAACAGGACGTCTTGTACACAGTAAGTACTCAAGACGTTTTCAAATGTAATAACAAAACACTGTCCATTAACCTTTCAGGCAAGCACTGAGGAAGAGGGGACAGGTTTCAAGGCAGGAATGAGGAAGGAAAGGGGACTGACCTGGGCAGCCAGTGGGCAGCTCCCACAGTAGATCTGAGCTTGGGGACAGAGGAGTCTCCACAGCACATAAGGGAAAACAAGGTTAGAGGGTCTCTGTGATTGGTTTCCCGAATCATGTTGACATTCAGGCATATTTCCATCCCTTTAAAACAATATACACATTCTTTTTAGTTTGTTTTTCCTACTTCCATCCACTGTTTGCAATGAAATATCTTTTTTAAAAAAATCTGTTCTGTGGCTAAACTTAATGAGGCCAAAAGTGTAGCATTTCTTTCCTTGGGAAAAAGAAATCTTGGCCTATGACTCAGGATACAGACATTCCTCTTGAGCTCAAATCCCAGCAATGTGCAGGATGACATTTCTAATCTGTACTCTGTGACACAGTCCAATCTGAATTATAGAACATTTTGGAATGAAGAAGGTTGAACCATATGAATTTTCCATTTTTGCAGGAAAAACATCAATAGGCAAATAACAAATATCATCAATAAATATCAATAATTTTATATGGTTCAATCTAATGTTTCCAAACAGGTTGTTTTATTTCCCTTCTAATGGATCTGCAGGCTCAAATCAAATCCCAGAGGATAGAGACTTCTCATCTATCTTTAATTTTCTCCACCATACCTGCCACTGAGCATTTATTGGACAGCCAATAAATGCTTTCTGAATGGAAAAGTATTACCAAGTAATAGTACTTCTGGTTCTGCTTTAATGAATTTGCATGAAGCACTGTAAATTCCATGGAGGCAGCCTGGTGGATGGGAGGGTGGAAGTCCCATCCAGGATGGGACAAGCTTGGGGCCAGAAGAACCTGGTATTCCTGAACTTCAGAAGCATAAAGGCACCTGTGAGAATGAAGCCTTTGTTCCCAGATGTTTAACAAGCATCTGTTATGTGCCCAGCAGTGTCTGGTGCTGGGAATATAGTCATAAGAAAAAAGACATAGTCCCTGCCTTCAGGGAGTTTACTATCTCAAAGGGAGGCAGGCATTCCAGGAATGCTTCAAATAAATAAAAATAAGATGATAACTAGGACAGAAGTGATTAAGGGCTTGCCTGGAGCCAGGGCATCCTGACCTACTCAGGGAAGTCCACCAGGGAGGGCTTCTCTGACAAACAGACAGTGAAGCTGAAATCTGAAACACAAACAGGCACAGGTTAGACATTAAAAGGAAAACAGATTCCGGGGGAGGAAGCAGGAATGGACAAGTGGAGCACAGGGACTTCCGGGGCAGGGAAGCTACTCTGTGTGATATTTAATGGTGGCTACCTGTTGTCGTACATTTGTTAAAACCCACAGAACTGTACAAACCAAGAGTGAACCCTAATGTGAACTATGGACTCTGGTTGATAATGATGTGTCAACACTGACTGGGTCACTGATTGTAACAAATATACCACACTGATGTGGAATGCTGATGGTGGGGGAGGTTGTGTGCGCAGTGGTCAGAGGGAAGTTGTGGGAATTCTTTATTTTCTATTCATTTTTGCTATGAACCTAAAACTGCTATAAAAAATAAAATCTACTGAAAGAAAGAAAGAAAGAAGGAAACAAAGAAAGAAAGAAGGAAGGAAGGAAGGAAAGAGAGAGAGAAAGAAGGGAAGGATGGGAAGGGAGGGAGGGAGAGGAGGGAAGGAAGGAGGGAGGCGAGGAAGGGGAGGGAGGGGAGGGAGCGGGGGGAGGGAGGGAGGAAGGAAGGAAGGAAAGAAGGAAGGAAAGAGAGAGAGAGAAGGGAAGGATGGGGAGGGAGGGAGGGAGGGAAGGACGGACAGGAGGAAGGGGAGGGAGGGGAGGGAGGAAAGAAGGAAGGAAGGAAGCAAGCAAGCAAACCAGGAATACAGGGAAGTAGTATCAAAGAAAACCAGGAATACAGGAATGGAGTATCCAAACAGAGGAAACAACACATGCAAAGGCCTTGCCTGAGTCAGAGTAACGCACTCCAGGTCACTGTGGCTGGAATGCAGAGGCCACAGGTAGAGGCCACAGGCAGAGAGCCTTGCAACAGGAGCCCAAGAGCAAATTCCTGTCTCCTTTCATCTTTGCTCAGTGGACATTCCAAGCAAGAAGGAGCCTCTGACTTAAAATAAAAAATTGACATTCTCACCTGGTATGAAAACAGAGCCCCAGCCATCAAAGGGGCCTCCTACCCTTTCCCCAGGATGATTATTCCCTGCCTTGGTCAGTGAAGGGAGCCACCAGCACGTGTAGACACCTCCTAAGCACAGGTGCAAGGCAGGCACGTGACTTGTTTACACTAGAGGGCAAAAAGAAACGCAAACTCTCCCACGTGCCCTGTTCACGATACTGAGTTATGACTCAGCCAGTTCCCACCGCTCAACCCAGAACAGCAGCTGTCGGTGGGGCTGCGGAGCCCACAACACAGCTCACAGCAGAAGGCAGAGCCAGGAAACCACGGAGTCCTGCACTTGGGATGTCGCCTCAGAGACCAAAACAGTAGAAGGATTCAGAAGTGCACATGAAACCACTGCCGTCTGCCACATAGAAAGCCAAGGGGAAGCTGCGCCACACCTGTCTGACAACAACCCTACAGGGCAGAGGGTCTGCACACCTGCATGCGCAATGCCCAGAGAAATCCAATACTTTAATGGTGCTTCCCCAAAGACACGGCAGCACAGGAAGAGCAGGCAGCCTGGCGCTGGATCAAGCCCCGGAAACCTGTGGTGCGATCTGCTAGCAGAAGCAGCTCACACATGCTGAGACAGACAACGCAGACAGCTGGGAAGCAGAACATGTGGCGGGTCCCTCTCTTCAGGTGGTGCAGAGGTTTGAGGAGTGGGGGGATGCCTTCCTTGAGGAAAGAAAGGCAATTTCCTGTATTTCTCAACTCATGCTTGGAAAAGTGACACAAGTCTGAGGTCTAAAAGAAATCAGGCAATAAGTCAAAAGAAAGCGAGTCAATTCTGCAGGAACTGGGAGCTGGGAGGGAGCAAGAGGAAACCCTGACAAAGTTGTGCCTGACTCTGGGACTGGGGAATTTTCCACATTTTACAGGTGTCTGCAGCAGCCTCTACTGGGTCTGAGGCTTAAGCCTGAGCCAGAAGAGACAAAAAAGCAAAATCAAAGGCCTTGAGCAAAGGAGACAGGGCTGTGACCAAGTCCTCTGCGAGAAGTGGCACTGGCTGGCACAGATGGAAGGCAACCTGGAGCACCTCCCTCCAGTCCCATGCCTCCCTGCATCTCCCAGATGTGCTCTCTGAGGCCTGGAGAAGTCAACTGGCTTCCATGGAGGCAGCCGATAACAGAAGAGGCAGAGCTTGAGTAAGGAAAACATGACTCTAAATTCAGTGCCTTCCTAGGTTTGGAATGTATTATTAAAAAAAAAAAAATTCAACAGGCTGTGTGCAGTGGCTCACACCTATAATCCCAGCATTTTGGGAGGCTGAGGTGGGCAGATCACTTGAGCCCAGAAGTTCAAGACCAGCCTGGCCAACATGGACAAACCATGTCTTTACTAAAAATACAAAAAAATTAGCTGGGCAAGGTTGCAGTGAGCCATGATAACACCACAGCACTCCAGCCTGGGCGATAGAATGAGATCTCCTTTCAAAAAAAAAAGAAAAAGAAAAAAAAATTGTTTTAAATAAATAAATGCAGTGCCCCTTACTCAATAGTGCATTATTGTTACTTCCCAGAGCACACAGTCACTGAGTAATAAAAAGGGCACAGAATTTCAAATCAACAGAACTGGTTCACATTCTGGTTCTACTCCTTACTAAATGCAATTAGTCCCTGTGATACTCAGTTTCCACCCCTGTAAAATGGGAACAACCCTTATCAGAGTCCTACCAATATACTGTAGGATTCTGGTAAGGATCCTCCAACAAGAATCACGGCTCCTCTGAGGCTGTGGTCTTCATTTTAGATAAGATATTCTGGCCAGGGAAGAATAAAGGTCTCAATTCCTGCCAAAAAAATTTTATTCAATACATAAATTTACCTTGTTTGCTTTAAGACTTACTCATCCAACTATTTTTGAGAGGAAATAAATGCTTTAAAAATTGAACACAGGCAAAATTAAAAGAATCAGGATTAAAACAGAAACTCTGTCTAAAGAATACAAAGGATAAGTGCCAGGGCTCTAGCAGTGGAGACAAACAGGGAAACGCATTGGGTTGCACTGATTTATTTTCTGGCTGACGAAAAAAAGCAGCACATAGAATACTGTGCAGCCAGCATGTACCCAGCCAAGCTCAAATGTACAAGTAACTTCTTTAACCTGAGAGCCATGAAGAAGAGCAAAGTGATAACTGACAACTTGGGACCCAGAGCTTCCAGGCAACTGCTCACCCTCTGTCCTCCCTAGGCCAAGGGCGTGCCCTGTTTTGAGAGAAGAGGAAAGCAGCCATATTTCCAGTCTGAACCACACATCACACTTCCGCCTGCACAATTTCAGAACAAACAACTTAGAGTCAACTTCTAGAAGGTCCTGGCAGAGAAACCATTATTCTGACCATAAAAAAGTATAAACAGGTTCAATCATAGGCTCTGGGTAAAGATAAGAAATTACAGGCAGTGGCATTCTCCAACTCCAACCCAGCCAGGAACAGTGCATTAGAAAAAATGCCCGCCTTGACGACAGAAGCATCCCTTAGCTGTGGATGCTGTTAGATGGCCTCTCACAGCAATGTGACCTGCAGGGGATAAATAAAGCAACTCAAAACCTCCATTCATAGAAACAGGGTCCTTATCATAAATGGAATGAATCCTAAATAGAAACAGGTAGTTTCCTTCTTTTTGCAAAGAACATCTTTCAAGAGCAGGCCACAGAGGTGGATTTAAAGTCAGACATGTGAATATTCCATACCCCTAAATCCCACAAGTTGATAACTAACAGTCCATTCAGGGAAACAAGAATGAGAATAAAACCAGAGTGAGAATAAAACCAGGACAAAGAGCTCCCTGTGGCGCTGGGAGATAGGCCTGTTATCAGCTCCATCTCCAGGGCACAGGGTCAGGGGAAGTAGAGCGTGCAGCGCTGCCGGGGAATTGCCTGGCCAACTCCAGCCCCTATGACGCACAGAGCCAACTGCACAAGATTCCAGGCCTTCTCCCTCTGTTCCACTGTTTGCAGGATTCAGTGGAAGGGCCTTTAATCTGGCCAGATCAGGAGGAGACACAGCATTCAGTAAACAAAGTAAGGGATACTTAGGACTTACAAATGATAGCCAAGATCTGCTTCAAATATGGGTGTGGTTGGGAATACAAATGCAACAAGACTGGTCATGAGTTAGTAATCATTAAAGACGAACAATGAGTACATGGGGTTTCATTTCACTATTCTTTATTCTGAAACTGTTCCAGAATAAAAAAAAAAAAAAAGAAATCATACTTATTCACTGTGGAAATTTAGGTAAATATTAAACAAAAAGCCAAAGAAGAAAATAAGCCTATCACCTATCAGAAAAATATAATCTTGTCACCTGAGACAACCACTGTTACCATTTTGTTCCATTTCCAATCTTTTCCACATTTTTTCTTTCTTTTGTTTGCAAAACAGAAGTATACTGTCCATATTGTTTTATAACCTGCTTCCCATGCCAATCTTAATTTATCTTACATATTATTCTGGAAATTCTTAAAACATAAAACATTGGGTTGTATCTTCCCTAAGGACAATTTTTCCTAGAAGAGGGAGCCAAGAGAGAGCAAAGTTACTATTAAAGCCATCTGATACTAATACCTTACATATTATTCAAGTCATTAAAATTTTTTTTTTTTTGAGACAGAGTCTTGCTCTGTTGCCCAGGCTGGAGTGCAGTGGCATGATCTCGGTTCACTGAAAGCTCCGCCTCCGGGGTTCACACCATTCTCCTGCCTCAGCCTCCCGAGTAGCTGGGACTACAGGCGCCTGCCACCACGCCCGGCTAATTTTTTGTATTTTTAGTAGAGACGGGGTTTCACCGCGTTAGCCAGGATGGTCTCGATCTCCTGACCTCATGATCTGCCCGCCTCAGCCTCTCAAAGTGCTAGGATTACAGGCGTGAGCCACCGCGCCCAGCCTCAAGTCATTAAATATTTTAAGTAGTATGACTGTTGCGTAGTCTTTCATCCAAAAGTAGTCCATAAACTACTTCCAATTTTTTGTCACCATAAGGCTGTGGTGAGCCAGGAAGGATGACATGTTTTATAAGTAGGTGATGTCAAGTGAGAAATAAATTGCTTAGTATGCACCTGAACATAAACTGACAGCACAATGGAAAAGAAAAGGCAAAGAGAGATGCTGGAGGCACATTGGCTGCATAATTCTGAGCAATCATTAACTTTCCAGGTATTCCCTTTTGCAAAGGTCGTGGTGAGGAATAAAGAGCAAATTTCAACAGGTATAAGCCTGAAACTTGCTCACAAAGTGCCTCTCCGTCAACAATAATTCACCAGGTCCAGACAATGAACTGAGAAAATCTGCTAGCATCGCCTCTGAAATGCTTGAGTCTTGAAATACTGTGTTTTCAAAGGGTTGAAGATTTCATCCATCAGGGATGGCACAGGAAGGTTCCATAGACATAGACTGGATCAAATGGCTTCTCAAAGACCACTGTGGTCCAAGTGATCAATCATGCCCTTTCAATTCATCTAATTGAATAAAATATACTCAGACACTGCTTAGGCCTGTAATTGGGTTCTTTCTCCAGAGAAAGATGAATTTCTCTCTCCAAAAAAAGAAAATCCATAAAATCCTCAAGGTGGGGAGATGAGGGGGATCCTATGTCTTCTCTGCACTATTTTTTTCCCTACCAAGAAGCAGAATTTGGCTGAATGTCTGTGGAGAAAACGCCTCCTATAGTCAATATCTGAAAGTCAGTCAAAAATATAATTTTTCTTTCTGAATCAAATTCATAAACTATTTTGTGAAACATTTGAAAGGTTCAGGACTGAATACATTCTAACCATGTTTCCATGTGTCTCTCTCAGACTGCTAAGAGACACCAGGGACTTCTGAATCAAACAATTTGGCTCTGGCCAGTAGCTGGGAAGAGGCCACACTGCAGCCTTCCTGGATAGGAAGCCACTGCTACCTTCTTCTCCAGGAGGGGCCCACAGACTCTGTGATGGGCAGAACCACAGTGGGATCAAGAGAATGGCAGATGGCTGTTGCTGCTTTCTTTACATTTTACCTTCTCCTTATCCATTTCCTTCTGCCATTTTGGTTTTTTATTTCAGAAAGGACAACTGGGGTTTTCTTCCCATCTTGTCAAGGATTGAGTGGAGAGGAAACAGGAGTCTGTGTGACACACCAGATTCAGGCTCTGAGGTCAGAAACTGTGTAAGTGAGCAATTAAGTGCTTATCACTTAATAAGTGAATAGCAGCTGCCATATGCAGGCTCTCTAGACTGAGTTCTAGCCTCTGACCCTGCCCTCACCAAATGGAAGAGTCCCCACCTATTGAGGAATCTGCCTGAATTTTCAAGAAAGTATTACCAATTATTCACACTCTATTGATGACCACTTTGAAAAAATATGAAATGTATGCACAAAGACTAAGAAGAGACTCACAGATTTTTAAAGTATGTGTTATGATAGTGAATTTAAGAGTGTTTTTTTTTTGTTATTGTTATTGGGTTGTTTCAACAGTAGAAAATTATTTTAAGACTATGTTATCACCAACATTCCATTTATATATTTTGCTAAGATTGGAACCTCTCGAAGCATGAGTTCATTTCTGATCTAAGTCTAGGCCCTCCCTCTGGATTCATATATCACAGAGAAGCAGGAGGAAAACAACTAGAATTGCAACCAAAGATGCCACACAATTCTTTTTCTTTCTTTTTTTTTTTTTTAAATTTGAGACAGAGTCTCACACTGTCGCCCAGGCTGGAGTGCAGTGGCACAATCTCCACTCACTGCAACCTCCGCCTCCTGGTTCAAGCGATTCTCCTGCCTCAGCCTCCCGAGTAGCTGGGATTACAGGCACCCGTCACCATGCCCGGCTAATTTTTTTGTATTTTCAGTAGAGACAGGGTTTCACTATGTTGGCCAGGCTGGCCTTGAACTCCTGACCTCGTGATCCACCTGCCTCGGCCTCCCAAAGTGCTGGGATTACAGGCGTGAGCCACCACGCCCGGCCTCACACAATTCTTTTTCAACTGGGTTTCCCAAGAGAGCAATCTCTAAGGTTTGCCAAAATTGGTCCAGAAAGCTCTACAAGCTTCTATGCCTATGACTTGACCTTTACTTTTTTCCCCTGAAAATAAACCAAAAAGCCAATGTATAAATGCAGACAGCTGTCTTCTAGCAGACAGTACTCCATTGCACACAACCACACCCTGACACAGAGACACAGACCAGCCCAATCCATTCCCGAGCTCCGGCTGATTTGACTGCTGTAGATTTCCCAGAAGTTCCACTGAGCTCACCCTCTGACTTCAGAGTGGTCAGGAGCCACATGCTGGGGCACTCAAAGACTCCTGCAGGAAGTACCAACACCCACTGACGCTCTCTACCTTGACCTCCCCATGCAGGGACAGGACCAGAAAGGAAAGTTACCTTGCAGACGGCTGCCTGGAGTACTGCATCAAAGCCCCCCTCAGGGGCATCTCGGTTCCGGGACACCCTCTGTTTCCGAACTTCCTCATTGAAGCTGTCCACTCTGTCTGTGAGAGGCAGCAGATGGCGGAACCCAAAGGAGGGGACGCAATTTGGAAACAACTTGTAACTAGAGAGGAAGAAGAGAAGAGTCACTTTTCCATCATTGTCTGTAAATCTTAACCAAGTGTTCTGAGCATTCACTGAGTGCCTTGAGAGGCACCAATAACTATTTACCCAGCACCTACCACATGCCCCAGGACAGGCACAGCAGAGAGAGCAAAGATAAATAACATAGTTCCTGTTCTCCAAACATCAGCCCTAAACTGCAGGCAAGGCAGTATATGCCAAGTTATAAATGAATGGTATGGACAAATTGTTCAAAGGAAACAGAGATAATAGTAGGCTACTGTGGTTGGAGGAAGACTTGACATAGGCATTGAAAGGTATGTGGGACCCGGGGTGTGGGCCAGCCTAGGCAGAGTGGAGAGGAAGTGTCCTCTGGGCTAAGGAACATGGATGATGCCCAGTGAGGGCAATGTAAGTGCAGTTACTCCATGCAACCAGCTTCTACATCAATGTTGCTGCCACGCAACAAAGGATCACAGGATCACATAATCTTGTCATGTCAATCCACTCAGTGACCAGGATGTGCAGGCACATGGACAAATGCTGAATGGAACAGGAATGAAAACATCTTATCTGCTTCTTCATTCGTTTCTAAATATTGTACCAACAAACTATCAATTCTGCTAAATGCAATAAAAATTATTTAGAAACTAAGCATCTTCAAATGGAAAGTTATGTCTGGAAATTACAAAAGAAGGAAGTATTACACATCAATAATAGGTTAATACCAAGCCTTTCTCCTGAAATATGGGGTGATCTCCTTTTCAGTCTCCTGTGGAGACTCCAAGTGGCCCTATTCCTGAAGGGAGTTACTTTCCATTACAGCTCTAAGAGTTTCAGCTTGATCTAGAACTAATAAAGTTGGAAGAGAGAGCTTATATTGTTTTACCAATGGGTTCACAAAGTAAAGGGAAGAGGGGAGAGTGTCCCAGCCAGAGAAGAGCATGTGCAAGAGTCCTGTGGCAGAAGGGAGCACAGAGCCCAAGGACAGAGGGAGGTCGGGGGGCTGTGGTGCAGAGTAACGGGTGAGGATGGGCGAGGAGGAGCCTGGGAGGCAGGCTGGGCCAGACTGTGCAGGGTCTCCAGCCATGTTAAGGAAGTCGCTCTTTCAGGATAAATGATGGAAAACGAGCACTAACAGGCCTGAGGGAAAGGCTTTATAATCTAATTCAAGCTGCATACATGGGAAAGAAAACAGCCTTAGCAACAGCTAGGAGGACCCTGCCTTAAATGCTGTCAAAAAGCAGACTCACCAGGGCAGGTCTGGGCAGGCTCCCTTCTGTAAAGGGGCAATCTTTGGTTCTCTAAGGGGCTATTCCATTCCCTCTCAGGGCTACAGTCCCTTCTCCATCCACACAGTCACAACAGCACAGCACAGAGTCCCCAGCAACAGGCCCACCCTGCACAGAATCAATCAGCCCCACTCCTGTGATAGTCGCGCTCTCCCTCTCGGGGCCGGCGGCAGCGATGGGATCTCCCTGCCTGGCTTTCCTTTGTGTTTCTCCCTTCTCCTTTCCCGAAGTCTTCATGAACACCTTGTACTTGGACAGGTGGAACTCTCTTTTAACCTCAGCCTCGGGCCACCCAAACTTTCCATTACCTCCTCATTTTGTCATGAAAAGAACAATCATGGAAATTACATTCCCAGCTGGAAGAAGGAACTGAGGTCCCATCTGTAGCTATTTGGCAAGTGGATCATAGGCCCAGAAGGAAGTAAGTCTATCCAAACTCTCCCCCTCTCTCTTCCTCCAAGATCCTGCCCTGGCCTATGTGGCTCTGGCCCATGATTTAGGACTTCAGGTGTGTGGTTTTTTTACACTTGGTCCGGTTGGTTGCGGACAGGGAGAAAAGAAACTGAATAATGATTGCTGTTTAACCAGGAAAGCTGTGACAAACTCAGCTACAGCTCAGCATGTTTTACCTCCTCCCTTTCACTCCCGCAAACAGCAATGAGCAGATACATTTTTACTGCAAAGAATGACTGTTAAGTAGTTAGGAATTAGAAGATGTGTTTGCCAGAGAGAAGCCTTCATTGTAGAGAATTTACTATAACCAAGTCAGAGTCACTTAGGAAAAGAGCTTTGTCACACAGACGCTAGGAGAGTCTCCACTGACACTGGAATAGGATGTCACCTGTGATGAGTTATCTGACTTAACCCCAGAGCAGCTGTCTGAGTGGCCTGAAGATCCGGACGTTCTGGGGTCATGCCAGGAGACTATCCTACCCCTCTCATGTGTCTGTGCTGTGAGACCCCAAATAAGCGCCATGCATACAGAGTTACTAAATTAAGGATTATTAACAAGGGAGATAAAAAATAAAATATATATGGTTAAAGAGCCAAGGGAGTGTCTGTATGTATAAAAAGTGAATCCAATTTGAAGACACCAGACCTAGGCAAATCCAGAAAACAATCTAATGCCTCAGGAGAATATCATGGATCAAGCTGACATGGAAAGGCTCTCCATGTCATGGAACAGGAATGAAAACATCTTATCTGCTTCTTCTAACTCTAAACATATACAACTGCTGGATAAAATGTAATTTAAAATTTTTTAATATATAGCCTAGGCTGGAAGCTTAGAAAGTAAATCCCAGAAACGAAGAGGAAACCATTCAATAAATGAATGGACCTTTCAGAAGTATTTGGTTTTGGCAAAAAAAAAAAAAAAAAAAAAAAAAAAGAAAACACCAAAAAACAAATGAATGGACTTAAAAGAATAGGTGGGGGCTGGGTGCAGTGGCTCACGCCTGTAATCTCAGCACTTTAGGAGGCTGAGGCAGGCAGATCACCTGAGGTCAGGAGTTCAAGACCAGCCTGGCCAACGTGGTGAAACGCCATCTCTACTAAAAATACAAAAATTAGCTGGGCATGGTGGTGGGCACCTGTAATCCCAGCTACTCAGGAGGCTGAGTCAGGATAATCACTTGAACCCAGGAGGTGGAGGTTGCAGTGAGCTGAGATCCCGCCACTGCACTCCAGCCTGAGTAACAGAGCAAGACTCGGTCTCAAAAAAAAAAGGTAGGAAATGGGCAGGCACTCATGCCAAGGACCCCCGCAATGGGTCAGGCCTTGACTGAGGCCCTACAGGCTTGGAGCAGGGTCTACCAGGAATAGATGCTGAGCCTCAGTCCTGCAGAGGGCTGAACACTGGAATAGGGCTGTCTGCATAAAGCCGAACAGCACAATGAGCTGCTGTGCTACTAAAACCAGAAACAGAAAAACTCCAGCTACTGGTCTAGGAAAGCAGCACGGAAGCTGACCATCTACCATGAATGAGATGAATTACCCATAAAAACTGTAACTCCAGGCCTGAGCAATTGGAATACACTGCTTTTATGGTGAAGACATCTCCATTTGAAAAATTAACAGAAAAACTAGTCCCACGGTGAACCTGGAGATTCTCGACAACGGCAAACATAAAACTGCTCTGCAGGGATGCCCCCACAACCTCCAAGGAAGAGCTAATGAAAAGCTTATAAATTGCATGAAAAACAATTCATGAAGGCATGTCAGCAGGTCCAATACACTGACTGGCTGTGGATCCACCTGAAGGATCCACAATTCAAGAAACAGAAACAGAATAATTTAAAATACTTTAGGCTGGGCGTGGTGGCCCACCCCTGTAATCTCAGCACTTTGGGAAGCTGAGGTGGGTGGATCACCTGAGGTCAGGAGCTCAAGACCAGCCTGGCCAACATGGTGAAACCCCATCTCTACTAAAAAATACAAAAATTAGCTGGGTGTGGTGGCACGTGCCTGTAATACCAGCTACTCAGGAGGCTGAGGCAGGAGAATCACTTGAACCCAGGAGACACAGGATGCCGTGCTGCCTGGACGTGGGGAGACAAAGCTCGGCCTGCTCACCAAGCCACAGTGTGCCCCCACGCTGCGTGTGCCTCCCCAGCTCAGAGAAGAGAGCTTCACATAACTCAGGCCCGAGGTTTCCTTCCACATTCTCATTCTTCACTGGACTTCCTGCCTTACAAGTAGCTTTTCAGTGTGCCTTGTACTCACTGTCAGGAGTTTTACTGTCTGCAACAGGCTCTGCCTTAGAGGACTTAGAGAGTGAGCTCTGAATAAGTAATGATGTGTCATAACTTTGAATATTTAAATGCTGAGCGCCTAGAGCCAGCCCTTGATTCTCTGCCAGCTTCCAATCTAGTGTCTCGGTCAGTGGAAGGGCCTTGGAAGAATGAAAGTGGGGACACACCCTATCTGTCTGGAGACAGGGCCCAATTAGGACAGAGGTGAAAAGAAGCAAATAAAATCACTATTTCAGATGAATTGAAAAAAGGCTTAAGGCTTGCAGTTAAGATGCTGTTGCTCCTGGTAAGCAGCAAAATTTCAACAAAAACATTTGACACCCAGACTTAGCTGAAAAGGGCCTTGGAGACAGAATCAAAGTAGTAATAGTCCCTGTGGCCACCTGTCGCCAGGAGGAAGCTAAACCCAGCAAATGATGATGCCTAGTGCCTCTTCGTGGTTAAAGAATTTAGAGTTCATTTGTATTTAAAACTTTTTCTTGTCTGTTTTTCCACCAGTGTCAGTTCCCAATACCTGAAAAGATCTAAGTCAGCTTCTGGGAGAGTATACAGAAGGATCTGGAGGGATTCAGAAGAGCCTATGCCACCAGCACACTAACTTGCTCCTATCACCCAGCCCAACTTGGAGCTAGGAGCTCTGAAGGCTACCAAAGAGGACTTGTGGAGAGGGGAGGGCTCAGGGATTTAAGAACAGCTCTCTCCCCTTGGTGGCAGCTGGAAGACCAAGAATTGAGAATGGCATCACAAGATGGAAGGAGCTGGATCCCTGAGTTACTGCATGGAGAGCTGCCAAGGAAAGCAGCTCAGCCCTCATCAGATGTTGCACAAGCAAAAAAAAAAAAAACCAACAAAAAAAAAACGTTCATTGTGTTGAGCCACTGAGATTTGGAGACTCTACGTTACTGCAGCATAACCTACCATGATCCTCAGGTAAGCCCCTAGGACATGGGGGTAGGGTGGTTTAGGGACAGGTATTATTACTCAGCCTAAGGTAAAGTGTCTGTGTTGTAGTGTGATTTGAATGGGGAAGAAGACATTATATTAAACGCAAACGCAGGCCGGATGCAGTGGCTCATGCCTGTAATCCCAGCACTTTGGGAGGCTGAGGTGGATGGGTCGCTTGACGTCAGGAGTTCAAGACCAGCCTGGCCAACATGGTGAAACCCCATCTCTACTAAAAATACAAAAATCAGCCAGGTGTGGTGGCAGGCACCTATAATCTCAGCTACTCAGGAGACTGGGGCAGGAGAATCGGCTTGAACCCGGGAGGCGGAGGTTGCAGGGAGCCGAGATTGCACCACTGCACTCCAGCCTGGGCAACAGAGCAAGACTCCGTCTCAAAAAAAAATGCAAATGCAGACTCTAAAAGTAGTTTGTCTGTATTCATATTCCAGCTCTACCCCTTGCTGTTTGTATAATATTGGGTAAGTTATTCTCTCTAGGCCTCAGTTTCTGCATCTCTAAAATCTGGCTTACACTTACCTTAGAGACCTCAACAGATTGTTATGAGATTTAAATGAGATAATCCACAGAAAATATTTAGTATGGGGCTTGACACTTAGTAAAAACTTAAGTCTTAGTTATTTCCTATCTCATGACTAGTTTTGGACCTTACAACACAAACCCTCACTAAAGTTAAATGTGGAGATGAGGAAAGCAAGAGTTGGAAGTTACCACTCACTGCAGTCACTTGCATAATCTTGACATTTAAAGAAACTCCTGAAAGACTAAAAAGAAAAGAAACCAACCTAGTAGAGGTTGTGTTGCATGGGCTGAAGAATGCAATCCCCTCATACAACCACCCACCCCAGCATGCATACAAACGTCCCATGGCAGAGACCTGCTCACTAATCCTATTTCTTCTGATTCCTGGGCCTACAGCTACACTAGTTCCCAGCCTCCTGGCTCAGTCCTGTTCCGTCTAATAGCATGTGGGAGCGGGCATGGCAAAGGCCTATCCTCCTATGCATGACCCTCTAGGCAGCATGACCTTAGGAGCCATGTGTGGAAGATGGTAAAGCCTGGAAGATGGAAAGCACCTGAGTCCCTGAGTCACTGCTTGCAGGAGAAGTTCCATGGATGAAGAGACCCAGTTGGACTTGAGGAGCAGGAAATAAACTTCCAGCAAGTTTGAGCCATTATACACTTTGTTATTATAGAATCTGGCAGCAGTTAGAGACACCTGTTTTCTAATAATATGTCAAATCTTTTCTAGTTCAGGTGTTTATGTTGAAAAAAAAATTCTTACATTTAAAATAGGATTTTAATCTAATTATGTGAAAATAAGTTATAGTTATTTATAGAAAAACAACAGGGACAAATTTTGAATTCATTTCTCCCAAAGCACCTCAGTTACTACAAGCAAGGGGAAAGTTTAAGTTGCCCTGCCTGCTGCCTCCCTGATAATCTGGATCCATCACTCCCTGAGGACATTTTCTGAATTCTATTAATGTGAGCAAATGGTGCTGTGCATGGCAGGCAGGAAAATCAAGGGGTTGTGATCATTTTATCTTTACAACCTTGTGACAGTTCACTCACTTCTTCACACGTCAGGAAAGGAGAGAATGTATGCTTATCATTAATCAAATTAAACGCCTAAGCCTGGCCACCCCTCCTAACCATGCCTTCCTTAATTCTTTCTTTGAGCTAAATTTTCCTGCTTCTCCATTCTCCCACCCTTAAGTACCCAACAGAAGGGCAACTGGTCACTTACCCAATGCACGGATTGGTCTGGTACCTCGGTGCCGTGTAGGAGAAAGGAGAGATGTCCTTATCAACAAAAGACCCAAATCCCAACCGGAAGTTGCTGGTGAGCTTCCTCATCTCCTCCGCGAGTTTGGTGCCCAGGCTCCGGATATTGTCCAAGTCATCCTTCATGGACAGGGAGAGGTCCATCAGGTAGTACAGGTCCACAGGATAGTCCTCCACCTGGCGAACCTGTAGCTGGAAGGTGGTCTTGTCACCTGCACCAACAGAGAGGCCACGTGTGTTAGAGGTTGTGCAACCTGCTGAGGGCTGAGGGATGGGATTTGCTTTCAAAGCTAGTTTGCCTCTTACTTTTCTTTAGTGATTGTGTGCCTCACAGAAGATTTTTCTTGGAAGTAAAGTGCCTGAAGGGAATACGGTGCTGAGAATGGAGGCCTGGGTTCTCCTTCCTAAACATTCGGCTTAGCACTTCTTTTTTTATTTTATTTTATTTTTTTTGAGACAGTGTTGCTCTGTCGCCCAGGCTGGAGTGCAGTGGTGCGATCTTGGCTCACTGCAACCTCTGCCTACCAGGTTCAAGCGATTCTCATGCCTCAGCCTCCTGAGTAGCTGGGATTACAGGTGCCCACCACCATGCCTGGCTAATTTTTGCATTTTTAGTAGAGACGGGGTTTCACTATGTTGACCAGGCTGGTATCCAACTCCTGGCCTCAAGTGATCCACCTACCTCAGCCTCCCAAAGTGCTGGGATTACAGGTGTGAGCCACCACGCCTGGCCTGGGCTTAGCATTTCTAAGGAAACTCCTTAACAACCAGGCTCCTTGGTAGTGTTCTGTCTTCTCAGCAACAAAGACCCTTGAGTAATCAGTGGACAGTGAACCAGACAATTTCATGAACACAAACTGGGTGGAGAGTAGCCCACCAACCACATACCAACTCCAGAGAAAGACCCAGTCACGATGGGAATGTGCGTTTGAAACAAAAAGCAGGGAAGAAATGAACAAAAGAGGGGTGTGGGCCTGAGTGGGGAAGAACCAAGTTGGGGAGAGAGATGTGCAAGGCAAGGGAGGGCAGAGAAACAAAGATCGTTGTTTAAAATACCCCAATGGGCAAAAATATGCATGCTTATGCCACATCACCTGTGTTTGTTTCTATTTCTCTCGCCATTTACCAGACTAGTATTTATTTGGGGGGCATATTTGATGTTTTGGGACATCACAGGCACAACTCATTATCATTGGAAACTACATATATAAATACAGGAAGACAGATTCCAAATTTTAGCTCTATCGAAAAAAGAAAACAAGAAGAAAGAGAAAAGACAGCACTAGATTTGTCTACCAGCTACAATAAGATAGCCAACAGGCAGAGAAAAGGGGAATTAATTCAGAGGAAAAGAACAAAGAGAAAAGCTAGTGTCTGGCAGGTGTGGCCTTTTCTGTCTCACCCTATAGAGTTCAAAGAGAGGCTCAAGTCAGGGCAATAACTGGAAGACCCAGGCCACGATAATGATCTTGAAATCATTTCATAATTTCTAAAAACAAATCACTTAGAACCAACTTTAAGGCTCAACTCATACCAGATCATTCTATCTGCCTTGGGCTTATTAACCTTTCAGGAGTGCCAAGAGATGCCCTATTTATCCTGCAGTAGAACTGTCTACACATACTTGAAATTTGGATAGATTCTTTGTGTGTGTAGAGGCACAACAGCAAAGGTGGCCTCACTCCTGCCCAGCGGGTCTACACCTGACTTGCCGGCAGCCACATCTCAGAGCAACCAGTCTTTCATCTCAAGCTGACAACTAGCAAGCTGAAGCCTTCTTTAACTTGCAGGGAACTCAATCCTCTATGCTTCCTCTCCTCCTCCCACCGTGACAACAAGGCATATTTCACTAACTAGATCACGAAGAATCCAATGATCAAAAGATTTTAGTTCAAGTTCCAGCTCTGTCCCTTGAATAGGAGTGCAACCTGGGCCACGGTTTCTTGAAATATAAAATGGAAGTAACAATGCTCACAGCATCAATTAAGCCTATGATGCGCTCATGAGGGAGAGCAGTGTTTTATGAGCAGTACAGGCTTGCACGGATGAAGTATGATTATGATCATTACTGCTTGCAGTCAGAGTGGCAGCTCTGAGCCTGCTTCCCCTGACTTGTCTTTGCGTGTACTGTTCTAGGCGCCTCAGGATTGATGGAGTTTGAGTTGCCTATTGGTATAAGCCTATTTTTTAAAACCATGGGGTGGGGGGAGGGGGGAGGGATAGCATTGGGAGATATACCTAATGCTAGATGACGAGTTAGTGGGTGCAGCGCACCAGCATGGCACATGTATACATATGTAACTAACCCGCACATTGTGCCCATGTACCCTAAAATTAAAGTATAATAATAATAATTTAAAAAAACAAAAAAAAAAACCATCAGAGTCTGACTCAAACAGAGGAATGTTCAAGGTTTTCTTCCAGAATGAATTCCAGGCTGCTGCAGTGTCTGCCTTTGGTCAGACAGACACAGCTTGTCCCGCCAGAGGGCTCCTTGGGTGCCACATCACAGTGAGGGAGGGGCAGGGAAGAGGGGGGAGTTGGGGGAAGGGAGCTCCCTCCTTGGCCCTTGCATGGGCAGACAACAGACCCCAAATGGACAGAGCCTGCAATCCTATTTCCTCTGCCTGATGCCATGATCTTTTCACAGGTCTTCTGCATTTTCTGCCACCTGTCCCCCCAAGTTCCCACCTACAACTTATTTTATCCAAAATCTACTTCTACTTTTTTACGAATTATAAGAAATTAACAGATGGGCACTTTAAAACCAGGAAACAAATAATTGGCTTGGATTCCGGGAGGCTGAGAGGCATCTATGGGATAGAGGCTTGGAAGCAGGAAAGCTGGGTTTGAATCCAGACCCTGTCACCAAGGACTAGGGAGAACTCAGGCTCTCTTCAACTCACTGCTCGGTTTCTGCATCAGTCAAGTGGGGAGGATATTAACTATTATAGGGATTAAAAGAGATAAACACCACACAAATGTTCCTACACAAAGAAAACTTTGGCCTCGGTTTTCCCAAAAGTCAATTACTGAAGCAATTTCCTGTGAGGATAAAAAGAGAGACAGAAAATCCTGCCAGCAACTTGAATTTCAACAGCTACAGCCTTGGGCATACAAATTTAACCCTAAATTTTCCAGACATGAGGGCTGAGGGAAAGAAGGCATGATATATAGGTCCCTTTGTATCCTAAGAGGCTATCTATTCTGAAGCAAGAAACTTCTTGGCATTACATTCTAAGAGAAATTGATCAGTAAGAAAACACACACACACACACACACACACACACACACACGCACACATCCCTTCCCAAAGGAAGGCTGCAGTTGTTAAAAAGAAATAGTGTGCCATTTTTCCAGAAAGAGAGGGATGTAAGAAAGATGGTAACACCACTGATGTTCAGAATGAGGGTTTATTGCTGCCTCTAATATACTTGATTTTAAATGCCACAGACTCCTGAATAGGCCGTGGCAATGACAGAATGTTCTGTCAGCAGATCCTGGAGGGACTGACATTCCTGGTCAGATCCATGGTGTGGGCATTAAGCTTCCAGTGTACCAACAACTCCCCAAAAAGGGAGGCCTCTAACGTTAACAGCCTGAAGGTGAAGCCATTAATGCATGTGAAGTGCACTTTCTGCTGAGAGAAGGTCTTGGGTATGTTTTCCAACTTTGGGTACACTTCCAGAACCATGCACGCTTAAGCACTCTCCTCCCTTCCAACTCCTTCCCGGCCACGCTGCTTTCCTTTAAAAACACCCGAGACTTTAAGCCAATCGCCACCTCCCGCTGCCCGGCAGAGTGGGAAGCGCTTCTCGCCTTTAATTTGCCTGTCTTGGTCTGTGCCCGTCTCTGGTGACACCATCCCGGCCCATGTGTCAGGATTCATCCTTCTCTGCTCCTTCCCTCTCCACTTAGGGTCTCTACAGGCTCATGTATCCCTGTAGCTATATCCCTTCTCTCTGGGGCTGTTCCACGTAATTCCTGCCAGCCTCAGGACCAGGGGCAGGACCAGAGAAATGGCAAACTCAAAACAGAAGCTGATCACCTGGCACCTGTGAAATGCTACCCCAGGCAGCCCCCCTCATGTCCTTCTGCTTGTTCCTGGTTCCAGAGTAGCCAGCTCCAACTGCATTTTGCACAGAATTTCTGCACTGCTCAGTTTGTAAGTACAGGTTCTTCCACTGTAATCGGGTATCAACTAGCATTCTATCTGAAATGTATTTTTAAAGCTTTCTTCTCTTTGCCTTCCCTTTAATAAAAAGTGAAAAGTTGGCATTTTCCTTAGGGATATATATCAAATGACAAACACTTCTAGAGAATGAGTTGAGAATTCCAGCAAAAACTTTTTTGTTTTTTGAGACACGGTCTTGTTCTGTCACCCAGGCTAGAGTACAGTGGCACAACCACAGCTCACTGCAGCCTCAACCTCCCAGGCTCAAGCAATCCTCCCACCTCAGCCTCCCAAGTAGCTGGGACTATAAGCATGTGCCATCATGCCTGGCTAATTTTAAAATTATTAGTAGAGACAAAGTCCTGCCATGTTGCCCAGGCTGGCCTCAAACTCCTGAGCTCAAGTGATCCTCCCCTTCAGCCTCCCAAAGTGCTGGGATTATAGGTGTGAGCCACATGCCCAGCCTCAAAAACTTTTTTTAATTTTTATTTATTTTTTCTTCTTTCTTCTTTTCCCTCAGGTTTCCTGCCTTTGAGTCAAAAACTCTTAAGACTGATTTTGTTCAAAGTGTTAAGACAAAGTAGTACCTCAGCAAATAAAGACCTTTGCCATCCCAAAATAAATGCAAATGGTTTTTGATTCCCTAGAAGTACTATTCTGTGCTGGAAACTGAAAGAAAGAAGGGAAACATAAAAATCAACTCTATTATAACAGGACTACAACTGAACAGAAAATTAAGGCCCTGGTGCACACATTATAAATGAGCAGACAGCTCTTCCAGTCACTACAGCAGAAGGCACTTAGTATCCCAGGATTAAATCCAGATCTAGAACCAAATTATTGCCTCACTGGTTTAGAACAAGGATGCCAGGCTGTACTGCACCCCCTCTCCACCTCAGAATTGTGACTGTTGACCTATGGAACCAAGGAACAAGTCACCTGAAGACACAGTTGTCCTCCACAGTGTCTGCCTCCAAGCCCAGGGCTCGATACTTCTGGTTTCCTTTAAAATAACCCCTTATCCAGCCATCATCAAAAGACTTTCTTCGTCTATTTAAGCTATGTACACTGTCACCCAGGGTGGCAACTTTATTGCAGAAGCAATACCTAAAAACTGGTTCTTCCAAGTAGAACCTGGAAGGAGAAGGGAGGAAAAAAATAGGGGCTGGCAGGAAACCCAAAAGCAACCAATTACCTGTAGTTTAGTTAATAGTATTGTAACCATGTTGGTTTCCTGGTTTTGAGAATGTACTTTTGTTATATTAAGATGCTATCATTGAGGACAGCGGAGAAGGGTACATAGAACATCTCTGTGTTACTTTTGCAACTTCTTGTGAGTCTAAAATTATTTCAAAATGTAAGAAAGCTACCAATCAAGGGTCATTTTTTAAGAGGTTAAAGGACTGAGGCCAATAATGACTTTAATAAACTATTCTTAATTGCTCAGTGTTTCAAAACCACCTTTAGCTTTTGACGGTTCTCAATAAGCTTTACTTTCAAGTTTATGTCCTTTCTTAAGGATTTTATGCTCTTTGTTAATGATTTTTTCTAAGGTTCTTATCCTGACATGTAGTTTCCAGTACTGAAATAAAATGGAAAACATGATCCTATATTTACACAAAATCCTGCTTGAAGCTTGGCAGTCCTTCAAAAAGTTAAACATAGAATTACCATATGACCCAGCAATTCCACTCCTAGCTATAGACCCAAGATTATTGAAAACATATGTCCCCACAATAGTGTGTACATGAACGTTCATAGCAGCATTAGTCATAATTGCCCCAAAGTATAGGGTGTTAACTGTGGAGTTATTAAAAGAAAAAAGAATTGTCCCAAAGTAGAAACAGCCCAAATGTCCATAAACTAAAATATAGTATATCTATACCTCCACAATGGAATATTATTTGGCCATAAAAAGGAATGAAGTACATGCTACAACATGGATGAACCTTGAAACATGTTGCTAAGTGAAAGAAACCAGCTAAAAGACCCACACATTTTATGACGTATAGGAAATGTCCAGAATATGCAAAACTATATAGAGAGAAAGTAGACGAGTGGATACCAGCGGCTGAAAGGGGAGGGTGGGAGACGGTAGTTTAAGCAGTAACTGTTCACGGGTATGGGACTTCTTTTTGGAAAATGTTCTGGAATCAGACAGTGGTGTTGACTGTACAACCTTGCAAATATACTAAGAACCACTGAATTGTACACCTTAAGTTAGTGAATTTTATGGTCTGTGAATTATATCTCAATTTAAAAAAATAAAAAATGTCCTGCTTAAAGTAGACAGAAATTCTTTTTAATTTTTATTTCCTTCCTGAGACTTACCTTGGAACAATTACTTTGCCTTCATGAAGTGTCTTTCATATTATGCTGAGGCTTGTCCTTGATTAGTCTGCGATAAGTCTGGCAAAGTCTTATATTTCACTCAACGAATAACTATTATGAGGCATGGGGGGTAGGGCAAGGAAGAAGACACAAAAGCATTTCTAAAAATATACAATGGAGGCCCAGCGCAGTGGCTCACACCTGTAATCCCAGTACTTTGGGAGGCCGAGGTGGGCAGATGACTTGAGCCCAGGAGTTCGAGACCAGCTTGGCCAACATGGTGAAACCCCGTCTCTACTAAAAATACAAAAATTAGCCAGGTGTGGTGGTGTGTGCCTGCAGTCCTAGCTACTCAGAAGGCTAAGGCATAAGAATCGCTTGAACCTGGAGGCTGCAGTTAGCTGAAATCACGTCACTGCACTCCAGCCTGGGCGACAGAGCGAGACTCTGTCTCTCTCTACATATATATAGATAGATATATGAAAAACCAACCCCTATATACCTGAAAGCCCTCCCTAGAGTCAGGGGGGAGATACCCTGAGGCAAATATGCATTTTGCATGACTGAAAATTTTGCTAACTGCCACATACCATTTTTCTCTCCCCACAAATTCTTCAGGTTTGCCTGTACTTCTCTTTGTAAATGTTAAAATTATATTTTCAAAATTTTAAGAGGCATCATTGGTTTCAAGTGTTTCTACATTTGGGAAACATATTCACAATGCTTGTAGGTCTTAGGAACTCGTATTTTCATCAGATCTCTTCCTAGTCTTCATCTCTTCAGACTGAACCCTCTTCATAGTCTGGGTGTGTTTTCAGGAGGCAGTCAGCTCCTCCAACTGCTTGACACCACCAGCACTGGGCTCTCCACCACGACACCTTCCGCAAGACAGAGCTACACAGCATCCACACTGTGGTTTTGTATCAACATAGGATCACGGTTTCCATTTTATTTCTAATACCAGAAATCATATCATAATGCTTAGCAGGAGATGTAACTATACCAAATAAGAATGATTTTCTTCCTTAACTGAGCATATATTGAGTTTTATGCATAAATACGGATTGTATGCAAACCTGCCGTTACTCAAATCACTTATTTTTTATTTTGGGTTCTTGTTGTTGTTGTTGTTTTTGTTTTTTAGAGTCTCATCTTCATCTAGACTGGAGCCTCAAACTCCTGGGTTCAAGGGATCCTTCCACCTCAGTCTCCCCCATAGCAACGGGGTCTCACTATGTTGCCCAGGCTGGTCTCAGATTTCTGACCTCAATCGATCCTCTCTCCTTGGCCTCCCAAACCACTGAGATTACAGGCATAAGCCACCACACCCGGCCTTCTCTAACTCTCTAACTCTTCTACAGGAACTGCTGTAAAAGCCAGTTGATAGTCAAACCAGACAACCATCTCTGCTCACACTCACACCTTAATTCTCATTTTAAAAACTGGAATTATTAAAGTGTGGACATCTTTGGATTTGTGTGATGCAACTCTTGTCTAAGTTAAGTCTATCCTGAAGAAGAGAGACTTGCCACCATAAAGGATACTTCTTGGAGAGAACACCACAGGCTTTGAGAGCTATTCTAGATGAGGAGTTCAGAAAATGTAAATTAAAACCTTCCTCCACAATGGCTCTGAAACTACAAACTCTTTTGGAGGTGTGAATTTTTTTCCTAATTTTCAAAGATTATTGAATGAAAATAGCACGATTATACATACATTATGATAAGTATATGAAAAATACAAAAAGGTGAATAATACAGAGGACATAGTAAAAATGAAAAATAATTTTATGTTAAAGTGGATTATTTTTCTAGAATTTCATGTGTTATTGCTATACTGTTACTATGATAAAAAAGAAAATACACTATTCTTATACAACACGATGTTCCAACATATTAAGGGTCTATAACAACTCCTATATCCCTTTCGGTCCAAACCCTGGACCCTGAGTCTGTCTTCACATAAGAGATTTCTCTTTCCCCAGAGGACATTACCAACCATCTGCCCACATAAGTGCTCAGCTGACTTTTTTCTACCCACTCACACAGCTCTGTAAGAGTTCCCTTCCTTTTCTCTCTCAATTCAGTATCTCACTAAACAAAAAGGCTGAGTGTTGCTTACAGTGAGAAGGTTTGCAAAAATCCTAACTTCAATTAATCTCAACACTGATTCCTGGGCAGGCAACCCAATAGTTTAAGCTTCTCTATCCAGCAGGGCCAACTTACACTCTTCTTTTGTTTCTTATTTTCAAGACAATTAAAATAGACAAAATAAAACATTTCTCAACTATATGATGACTTGGAGCTTTCTTTAAAAACTCTTGGTGCAGACCATACAATGATAACCACAGCAACAACAACGAGCTTTACTGAGTGCTTACCACATGCAGCACTGTGTTAATCCATTTCCAAGGCACTGAGCATCCCTGGTCAAACCTCCATCTGGTACCCTCGGCCACTGCTCTTTGAAAATAATAAAAATTTTAACTTTGAAAAGTTCACTGATACAAAAAGTCCATTTAAGCCTCTGAACATGCCCATGAGGAACAAAGGTGACAAAGACCCTAAGATGCTGAGAGATGGAGTAACTTGCCCAGGGCCTCCAAGCTAGGGACAGAGCCAGAGCTAGAACCCAAGAGAGCCAGCCAGATCCATGATCTTTCCACTGCTACAAGCTTCCCTGGAGTCTAAATAAACCATCTACAAATAGCTACTGCCAATGGTTTCCTAGACCATGGGATAGAAGAAAACAGCAAAAAATCAGTAAAATGTGAAAAAATCTGCCCCTTCCCAATAGCGTAATACTTTCCAATTTAGCCACATGCACATCTAACCCTTTGACATTGCAAGGCTTCTAATATGCAGAATATTCAATGATAAAAGTGGTGAACTAGAAACAGCCATGGGTTTGTGGTTACCAAGACCTGGGGCTGAATCGATTCACCACTTACTGAGAGACCTTGAGCAGGTTGTTTCCTTGTGTGTAAAATGAGAGCTACCTGGCCAGGCATGGTGGTTCACGCCTGTAACCCCAGCACTTTGGGAGGCCGAGGAAGGTAGATCACCTGAGGTCAGGAGTTCAAGGCCAGCCTGGCCAACATGGTGAAACCCCATCTCTACTAAAAACACACACACAAAAAAATTAGCTGGGCGTGGTGGTACACATCCAGCTATTAGGGAGGCTGAGGCAGGAGAATCTCTTGAACCCGGGAGGTGAAGGTTGCAATGAGCCAAGACTGTGCCATTGCACTCCAGCCTGGGTGACAGAGCGATACCCCATCTCAAAAAAAAAAAAAAAAAAGATAGCTACCTTAAAGTTAGGTCAAGTGTTTAGCACATAGTAGGTGTGCAAAACTGTTTCTTTATATTACATTATAAGTAATTATATTACCGTTTCCTTATATTAAGCAACTCTAAGGCTTGCAGGGCCCCATGGTCACAAAACAAAATATCTCCACTCTAAAAGTTTGTCCTTGCAGAATGCTACAGACTCAAATGGAATTTGCTGACAGGAAAAAACACTTTTTCCTAAAAGTGGCGTGTTTCCTGAGCAACTTGCATTCACTAAGGAGTAAATCTACCAGCATCCTCCTAGAATAAACCACAGCATTATTCACAAGAGCCAAAAGTTGAAGACAACCTAAATGTTCACTGACAAATGAATAAACAAAATGTGATACACCCATACAATGAAATATTACTCAGCCAAAAAAGGAATGAAGTGCTGACACATGCCAAAATATGTGTGAAACTTGAAAACATTACACTTAGTGAAACAAGTCAAACTTCAAAGGACAAATATTGGATGATTCCACTTATGGTAGGTATCTGGACTAGTCAAGTTCAGAGTCGGAAAGTAGAGTAGGCAGCCACTACACCCTGAATGACTGTAATTTCTGCCATCAGTTGCTCCCTGATTTAAACAAAATTTAAAAACAAAAATAAATGAAAAATAAAAAATAAAGTAGAATGCTGGTTACCAGGAACCAAGGGAAAGAGAGAATGAGGAGTTAATGTTTAATGGGTATAGATTTTCTGTTTAGGACGACGAAAATGTTCCGGAAATAGATACTGCTGATGTTTATACAATATTGTGAATTTAATGCTGCTGAACTGTACACTTGAAAACGCTTAAATGGTAAATGTTATGTATATTTCACCACAATTGTTTAAAAATAGCAAAGATCTTCCTCTGTCCACAGGAGCCTGTCCACAGACACATCAATAAGAATATACTCTGCTTCCTGAGGTCTGAGCCTTGCCTCCCCATCACCATCTCGTGGCTCTGATCTCAGCCTGGCCTGACTCATTGTCCCATTATTAACAAGTCCCACCTCCCCCATGGGCCTTCCTGATCCCAGAGCATCCAGCCCTTTCTGTGGGCAACTCACCGGGCCGGAGGTTCACGGCAATCTCCTGTGGTGTCATCTGAATGACGTCCCAGCCTGCAGAGCCCGAACCCTTGCTGCTGAGGGGCAGGCTCCTCAGGACATGGAAGCTGCTGGCTGGGCTCTCTATCTCACCTCCACAGCCATTTTTGACAAGGTTTGCCCTCAGATCACACCGAGAGGTGATGGACCGTGGGCTTCCGAAGTCCTAGGCAGGGAAAAAGAGGAAGAGAGCAGGAGGTGGTCAGGGTGTCTCCCGAAAACATCGCATGTCGTGGCTGCGTCTCCATCTGGTTGACCTTAAATTCTCTACTTTCCATTTTCATTGTCTGAAAATGGAGGAAATGGTAATCCCTATCCCAGATGCTTCACCAAGTATTGTAAGGATTAACTGAGCTGCTGGACATGACAGCATTTTGTAAACTGTAAACACATAATAAAAATGTTCGGTTTTGTTGTTATTTTGATGGTTAAAATGCTCCTAACTGCCTACATGATTAGCAAGAGAAACAGAAATGATCAGAAGTTGTATAGCTAAAATTTTTTAAAAGTTGTTATATATTGCTGGGCATGGTGGCTCATGCCTGTAATCCCAGCTATTTGGGAGACTGAGGTGGGAGGATCGCTTGAGATCAAGAGTTTGAGACCAGCCTGGGCAACATAATGAGACCTCCTCTCTAAAAATAAATAAATAAGTAGATGAAATAATATATAGTTAAATAAATAAGATGACATATAAGTAGCTGAAAAGTCTTCCCTTGGGCATTCAAGAGTTAACCTTTAAGTTGTTCACTTATCATCTTTCACAGGCATTGGATGCTGGATAATCATTCAGGAGAACAATGTGGCAGTACAGGTCATATCCACTGACCCAGTGCTCTACTCCAAGAAACTTATTACAAGAAAATCATCTAAAGAGAAAGGAGAAACTCTATGTGATATATACGGCAGTATTACTTATAATATAATCTTTAAAACTTGCAAACCTAAATCCTTAAACCATAAGAATAACATAGCATATCACTTCAATAGATGACAGCCATTACAAATAATTATGGGAATTAAGAAGAAATTTAAAATATTTACACTAAGGAGGAAAAAAAAACCCAAAATATAGAATTGTATTTATTAGGATTTGAAAGAACAATTTTAAATGAGGTGTTATAGTAAAGTGACAAAAACATTTTTGTTTTTATCTTTGTTGTTTGTATGATAACGACACATTGATAAGAAAAATCTTTCTTTGGGTTTGGGAGAAAGCTGGACATCAGAACAACTCAACCTCATTTGGGACACCAGAAGGTTAAGGTATTAACTTTAAAATGAAACAATATACTTTATTATAAATCATGAAGCCTCCCTGGTCATTTCCGGCAAAGGGGTTTCACCTTTTCCCTGGTGAATGTGAAAAACAAGATTCCCCCCACTCTGGCAGGCTGGAAGCCAATGCTGTCCTATGAGTCTTTCTGGAGGAGTTAGGACACTGGTCCCTTCCTCTTCCCTCTGGAACACTTTGCCAGAAGCCTCATGTGAGTCAGCATCCCTTGACCACTTTGTTAGAAGCCAGACTGCTGGCAGAGGCACAAAAATCAGAGGAATGCACCCTCCCTCAAGGTCTCAGATGTCCTGGAACTACCCAATGCCCTTTAGAATCCTTATAAAATTCAAGATCAAGAAGTCAGCCTGGTGTGGTGGCTCACACCTGTAATCCCAGCACTTTGAGAGACTTGAGGCAGGAGGATCATTTGGGCTGGGAGTTCAACGCTGCAGTGAACTGCGATTGTGCCACTGCACTCCTGCCTGGGCGACAGAGCAAGAGCCTGTCTCAGAAAAACAAAAAACAAACACAAAAAAGAACAAGAAGTCAAGAAGACGCTGCAGTGTTTTTAAATAAGTAAAGCCAGATGTATTGTCCTAAGCCTACGGTATGTTTGTTTATATTCTGGGTTGTTTTTTTTTAATAACGATTTTTTATTTGTGCATTAAATCCCCGAGGATCTTGCCTGTCAACAACCTCCAGGACTACATCAAAGGTATAAGTGGCTCCATAAACACTTGTTGTGCAACAAGGTTAGAAAAATGAGTTTTCTAGCCAGCCATGGTGGCTCATGCCAGCATTTTAGGAGGCTGAGGCGGGAGGATCGCTCGAGCCCAGGAGCTCCGGGCTGCAGTGGGCTATGATCCATGCCACTGCACTCCAGCCTGAGCGACAGTGAGACTTTGTTAAAAAAACAAAACAAAACATATATATATATATACACACACACACACACACACACACACACACACAGAGAGATACACATATATATATTATTCTGGCCTTAGATTTTTTTTTTTTTTTTTAGACACAGTCTTGCTCTGTCACCAGACTGGAGTACAGTGGCGCAATCTCAGCTCACTGCAACCTCCGACTCCCTGGTTCAAGCAATTCTCCTGCCTCAGCCTCCCGAGTAGCTGGGATTACAGCCACGCACCACCATGCCCAGCTAATTTTTGTATTTTTAGTAGAGACGGGCTTTCACCATGTTGGCCAGGATGGCCTCGATCTCCTGACCTTATGATCTGCCCGCCTCGGCCTCCCAAAATGCTGGAATTACAGGCGTGAGCCAGTGCACCCGGCCTCTGGCCTTAGATTTAAAAGCAGAACTTTCTAAATGGGGTTCCAGGTGGTCAAGCTTGGCTCTGATATAGCAGTTCTAGTGAAGCAGTGAGAAGAAAAACACAGGGTTCTGGAAAAGGAGGGGTAACGACCTGAGGGCCCTGCCAGTTTGGGTCTGCTGTCTTGAGCTGTCTGAAGTAGATGTCTAATTAGCTTTCCAGAGCTTGAAGAGCTCAGGGGCTTGCCTGCCCAGTGCTTACTCTGCTAGAGAATTTCTGAATTTCTCACTGGCGAACTGAGCCTTGCTATCCAGCCCCTCTGCTTCTGAGGAACTGACTATACTTGGCCCAGTTCTGTTTGTCAAGGTGCACCTGTTTTGATCAGTCCAGTGCACAGCCCCACCACCAGGGTGGCAACGGAAGCATGGTCAGTTTTTTCAGAGTAATGAGAACCCCTGACACCTCTCTCACTGGTCTGGACCAGCTTACACTCTGGAATAGACTAGGGCACAGAGCCAACCTGCTTCACCTAAGCAGGAGGCAGGTGCACAATTCCTTCAGTTTGGTCAATGAGATGATCCCCCCCACTGCTGGGATACTTGCACTGGCAGTGAACTTCATCTGAGCTTCCCAACATCCTGCTCAAAGGGATTTTTGATGGATACTACCCATCATTGCAGAAGAACTTGTACAGGGCCAAATGTATCTGCTGGGACCATCAGGAGACTTAAAGTCCAAATCATATTTCCCAGACCTGAAGAACTGTGAGGCGGACAGGTCAGTGCCTATTACAACCCTAGTAGTGTCGCTGGCTTTCCCAAGTGCATGCTGTAGCAGCTCTGGGGCTTCTTTATTCTCTAGGATGTTAGGAGCAAAGCCCTCTTCATGCCCTTCACTGGTAGCAGTTTTCCCATGTTTCTCCTTAAAAACATTCTTCAGCTGAGGTTGTGATAAACCTCAGCTCCAGTGCATACGAGGCTTCCCTAAAGTTAGCTGCACCAACAACAAGAATCATGGGCTCCTGCACTGTCACCTGGTTGCCAGTGTGGAAACCACCATTAATCACATTAAAGCTGCAACTTGCAGGGTTGCACTGACTTCGGAAGCACAGACCAAGTCAGCAACATGATGGTACAAAGGGAGTCCTATTCTCAGCAACTCCAGCTTTATAGACAGCAAAGGACACACCATATGCCACGCGGACCAAAGTTAGATTTCTTCTCAGTGCCAGGCATCTCTATCATCAGTGTCAAAGTTCGCTTTCTTGCTATCTAGGTCAGGCCATATGGTTTTGTTGATGTGCTCAACAACTTTGAGGCATCTTTACCTATATATCGAGTCCTGTCATTATTTTCCCAGAGCTCTAGGGACTCAGAGCCACTAGCTGAGGCACCACGGGGCAAGGCAGGTCTGAAGAAGCTTTTGAGGGTAAGGCAGCTACCTTAACAGGGAAATTCCCCTAAGAGGTAAAGATCTCTTTTGGCACGGAGTCCAAACAATTGCTGTGACTAATTTCTTTTGATTTATTTTTGACCCGATAAGGAAAGAGTAAGCCATAACTGATTTGTAGCTATAGGTTCTTGTTGCCCAAGAAAAGGAACTGAGAGTGCTGCGGACTCAACAGAGGGAGTTAGGTCACAAGCCAAGAGCTTCGCCTCTATTCCATGTGTTCCTTTCTAAGTATTTTTATTTTCATTTTTGAGACGGAGTCTCACTCTGTCACCCAGGCTGGAGTGCAGTGGTGTAATCTCAGCTCACTGCAACCTCTGCTTCCTGGGTTCAAGTGATCCCGCCACCTTAGCCTCCGGAGTAGCTGGGATTACAAGCATGTGCTACTATGCCTGGCTAATTTTTGTATTTTTAGTAGAGACAGTGTTTTGCCATGTTGACCAGGCTGGTCTTGAACTCCTGACCTCAGATGATCGCCATGGCCGCCCAAAATGCTGGGCTTACAGGCATAAGCCACAACACCTGGCCTAGATATTTTAATTTTGAACAAGGATAGATGCATATTTAAAGAGAGAAAACCAAAATGACAGAGACCAGGGGCATATCTAGTAATGGCTATGACCTTCCAGGTATACAAACATTATAAATCTGGAAAATGTCTCTTAACCCTTAGTAGTTTAAGGTAAAAAAAGAAAAAAAAAGAAAAAAAAGAAAGAGAGAGAGAGGAGAAAGAAAGAAGAAAGAAAGAAAGAAAAGAAAAAAGAAAAAGAAAGAAAGAAAGAAAGAAAAAATGTCTCAAGACCTATATTTCTTTTTTTTTTTTTTTTTTTTTTTTTTTTTGAGATGGAGTCTTGCTCTGTCATCCAGGCTGGAGTGCAGTGACACGATCTCAGCTCACTGCAAGGTCCGCCTCCCGGTTCAAGCCATTCTCCTGCCTCAGCCTCTGGAGTAGCTGGGACTACAGGTGCCCGCCACCACGCCCAGTTAATTTTTTGTATTTTTAGTAGAGACAGGGTTTCACCGTGTTTGCTAGAATAGTCTCGATCTCCTGACCTCATGATCCACCCGCCTCAGCCTCCCAAAGTGCTGGGATTACAGGTGTGAGCCACCACATCCGGCCCCTCAATACCTATATTTCTAAGCTCCATATTCAATGAATACGGATGCCTCATATCATAAAGCCTTAGAGAAAAGGCAGACTGATGTTTAAGAAAATCCTCCTTCCTAAGCAAATTAATGCAGGAACAGAAAACCAAATACTACGTTTTCCCTTATCAGTGGGACCTAAACATTGAGCACCCACAGACATAAACATGGGAACAACAGATACTGTGAACTACTGGGACAGGAGAGTTTATGGGTCGAAAAACTACTTAATGGGTACTACGCTCACTACTTAGAGTGCAATATACCCATATAACAAACCTGCACATATACCCTCTGTATCTAACATGAAAGTTGAAAAAAAAAAGAAAAAGAAAGTCCTCCTCACATGAATGACATCCTGATGTCTGATGGCGTAACAGTTTCAGATCCCAGAGACCTGACACTCAGACCCTCTGCCAGGTGTCAGACATAGCAAGTTCCAAGGGGAAGGGCCCTTGACTGCATCACCTGGTGCCATCCCCTGGCTTCCACAGGTGGGGAATCAGAGGTCCACAGACCTAAGTTCACCCAAGAAGTTGAAGTTCATCTGGCCCTGGCTTCTTGGGCCCAAATCCAGTGCTCTTTGCAGCATGTGCCGCCTCCCATTTTAGCCAAGGCCACTGCCAAGTTCTGCAGCAGGAAACTAACTTTGGGCCCAAAGCTTCCATCCTTCTGAAGGCAGCATTTCTTTGCTGCCCCAAATTCAGAGATCTGTTACCTACCAAACATGAGGGATAAATATCCTTTTGCAGAGAAACAGGTACAGAGGAGCCTCAACCTATAGAAGAGGAGGGGAGACTTCATCTCAACAGGCAAAAATGGCAACCTTTTGTTCCTTGAACAAAAGGAACCCAAGCAAGAAGGATGGGCTTCTAATGGGCCACAACACAACTGCTTGCAGATGCTCCCCATGCTCTATGCTGGAAGAGGTTCCTGTACACAAACAAAGCATTGATCCCTGGTCTCCAGAAATGCCCTTATCAAACTCTCCAAAGGGGAAAAGCAGCAGAATGGCAATAGAAAGTTGAAGTGTCCTTTGCGGCTTTTTTCTTTTTTTTTTTTTTTTTTTTTGAGAGACTGGGTCTCGCTCTGTCGTCTAGGCTGGAGTGCAGTGACGTGATCACCACTCACTGCAGCTTCAACTTCCTAGGCTCAAGCTGTCTCCCCACCTCAGCCTCCCAAGTAGCTGGGACTACAGGCAGGTGCCACCACATCCCACTGATTTTTTACTTTTTTTGTAGAGACCAGGTCTCACTATGTTGCCCAGGCTGGTCTACAACTCCTGGGCTCAAGCAATCCTCTCGCCTCAGCCTCCCAAAGTGCTGGGATTATAGGCGTGAGCCACCATGCCTGGCCTTTTGCTGCTTTTAGTTACTAAGTGGTAATAATATAAAAGAGAAAAGAGAGGTGTTTAAAATTTAGATTGTTTTTAGTTTGTTACAACACTGGTGTTTGCAACTTATTGTAAGCCACCATGCTCACTCACCCCATCATCACTGTTACATGGAGGATAAGATGAGGTCTGCTACTTATTATAATATGTTAACACCTGACTCCATATATATTTTGTTTGTTTGTTTTTGAGATGGAATCTCGCTCTGTCACCTAGGCTGGAGTGCAGTGGTATGATCTCGGCTCACTGCAACTTCTGCCTCCTGGGGTCAAGTGATTCTCATGCCTCAGCCTCCCGAATAGCTGGGACTGCTATGCCTGGCTAATTTTTGTATTTTTAGTAGAGATGGGGTTTCACCATGTTGGCCAGGCTGGTCTTGAACTCCTGAGTTCAAGTGATCCACCCGCTTCAGCCTCCCAAAGTGCTGGGATTACAGGCATGAGCCACCATGCCCAGCTCCCTACATATTTTTTGCTAATCAAGGTCTCTTACCCTGCAGTCAAAGCTAGTGTTCAATGGGTGCTTGGCTGTCCAGCATCACAGCCAGTGCATTCAGGTTCCTCTATGCCAGACCAGACATTACATTATTTGAGTGCCATCCTGCCTACCATTGCTGAAGGCTAAAACTCTAAAAAGGTGAGGGTGATTGTTTTGGGGGAAAAGACAAATTCTTGTTTGTTTCTGAAACAGAGTAGAAGAGTTGAGAAACTGTAGGCCCTTGAACAAAAGGAACCCAAGCAAGAAAGGAGGCCAGCATGCCCAATCCCTGGGATGAAGAGGGAAGAAAACAAACTGGGAAAAAGGCAGAGAGCCCAGGGGAGAAGTGGACACAGGCGGGGAGCTGGCTTCTTGCTAAGGCCGACCTTTCTGGCTGGGATATGGCAGGGCCTGGCCCCCTGACCAGCCACACCTGCAGCTCCAACTTGGCAGAACCCTCAGGGATTTGAGGGGAAGGTAGCTGATGACAACCAAGATGTGTGTTGTGTGCCAGCAACACACTGCCACGTATACTCCCTGCCTGGGGGATGGAGAAATCCCTCTGCCAGCTTTCAATGGACTTATTAATTCACTGAACAAATATTTATGAAGTGTCTACAACAGGCCAATATTATTTCTTTCATTGAATCTGACCACAAGGAGATGTTCTTTAAAGAATCTATAGTTTATGTGAGCTGGATTGAATATTGATTCTTTTCATTTCAGTTGGCCCATCTTGCTTCCCAGCCTCTCACCTGTCTCCCTCCTCATGCTCCTACCTCCAATCCTACTGATGCTTCATTGCTTCTTCTCCACATCCACTTCCCCAGGCAAAGACCGCTCACCCCAGCCCAGACTTCACTAGTCTTCTCCCATGCCCGACCCCATTTCCATGCATCCATGGCCTCACTGTTCTTTTCACTAGTCTTCTCCCATGCCCGACCCCATTTCCATGCATCCATGGCCTCACTGTTCTTCTCCCTGTGGGAATTCAGCTCCACAGTGGTGGCCTTGCCTAACCTGGTCCTTCTCCCGGATTTCACAGCAGCCTGGTACTGCCCACAGCCACACCATTTCACGGAGCCTCGTATTCACACCCTGACAACCTCCCAACTTCTGCAAACCCTAAGTGCAATCTCTCTGTCTGCCTTTGCCTCCTTTCTTGCTTTCCCCAACCCTGCTTTCTGTTCTCACAGGGAGCACTGATCCCTCAGCCTTGCCCACTTCTCCCAAACCACTGTCCTCTTGCGAGTGACACGAGCATAAGCTGCCAGTACACCAAGCCCATTCTCCCTTTCTTCTGGGGCACAAAGCTAGAGCAAGTCTCCCAGTTCTCATTGCAGTTAGGCATTGCCATGTGGCTGGGTTTTAGGCAACAGTGCTAGTAGGAAGAATGTGGGCTACCCCTAGGCCCTGCTTGAAAGCATCCGCACACTCTCCTCCAGGCACATTCCTCATGACAACTGGCTAGGTTGTAAAATTTACAATGTTAGAGGGGAAACAAAATGTCCATTTTAAAAAATGATGGACAAAATAGATCATAAACTGCTGGGATTTGTTGTGTGTTGATATGGTTAGGCTTTGTGTTCCCACCCAAATCTCATGTTGAATTGTAATCCCTATAATTCCCATAATCCTCACATATCAAGGGAGAAACCAAGTGGAGGTAACTGAATCATGGGGGCGGTTTCCCCTATGCTGTTCTCTTGATGGTGAGTGAGTTCTCCTGAGATCTGATAGTTTCATAAGGGGCTCTTCCCCCTTTGCTCAGCACTTCTCCTTCCTGACACCTTGTGAAGAAGGTGCATTGCTTCCCCTTCACCTTCCACCACGGTTGTAAGTTTCCTGAGGCCTCCCCAGCCATGGCGAACTGTGAGTCAATTCAACCCCTTTCCTTTATAAATTACCCAGTCTTGGGTATTTCCTTATAGCAATGTGAGAACAGACTAATACATGTGTCTTAAGCTGTGCTGTACAAACAGCACCATAAGGGCTGAGAAGCAGGCGGCCAAGGCTGTCTAGAACAAGGTAGAGAGTGTGCTGCAGAGAGGCAGGGGCAGCATGGACAGGCCAAGACAGGCAGTGACCCATACATCCTGGTCTCAGAGTAGGGGAGAGTCTGGCGACTCTGGATATGAGGGCAGAAAGTAAGTCTGAAACCCTCAGGTAAAGCATGGTGAGAAAATGAAGGCAAGAGGCCAGGCACAGTGGCTCACTGTCTGTAATCCCAGCACACTGGGAAGCCAAGGTGAGAGGATCACTTGAGCCCAGGAGTTGGAGACCAGCCTGGGCAACATAGTGAGACCTGTTCTCTACCAAAAAAAAAAAAAAAAAAAAAAAAATCAAAAACTTGCCTGGATGTTGTGGAATAGGTCTATAGTCCCAGCTACTCGGGAGGCTAAGGTGGGAGGATCACTTGAGTCTGAGAGATTGAGGCTGCAGTGAGCTATGATCACACCACTGCACTGCAGCCTGGGCAACAGAGTAAGACCCTGTCTCCGAAAATAAATTAACTAAATGATTAAAAATGAAAAAAAAAGTAAACAAAAGCAAGAGAGCCAGGGCTGATGTGACACAGAGCCAACTAAGAGAGAACCAGCAAGAGCACCGTGCAGGGAGTGGTGGGAAAGGACACTGATGGACTCATACATGATACCTGTGGGAGGAGACGTGGCCAGCAGGCATGGAATTAGGTTACAAGGAATGTGAACTGCAGGGATAAGGAATCCTCATGCCCACTTCAAGTACAATAAGGGTAAGTCTTCATGGGATCTGGAGCAGGAGAATCCCCATGGAATGTACCATGGGATTCATCCTCATAGGTTGGGAACCTGGCCCTCACCGGCTGTCTACTGGGCAGCAACCCTCAGTGTACACACACATCACATGCTTATTACATCTTTGATGATGTCCTGGGATATATGGTTAAGAAGGCACCCAGCCACACTTACTCTGTCTTGCTAAGGGGTACAGGTTGATCAAAACCATTTGTGGCCAGGCGTGTTGGCTCACGCCTGTAATCCCAGCACTTTGGGAGGCAGAGGCAGGCAGATCACTTGAGCCCAGGAGTTTGAGACCAGCCTGGACAACATGGTGAAACCCCGTCTCTACTAAAAATACAAAAATTAGCCAGGTATGGTGGCACGCGCCTGTAATCCCAGCTACTCAGGAAGCTGGGTAGGAGAATCACCTGGGACTGGGAGGTTGAAGCTAGAGTGAGCCATGATTCTATCACTGCACTCCAGCCTGGATGATGAGAGTGAGACCCTGCCTCAAATGAATAAATAAATAAATAACCATTCCTGAACTCTCCTAACCTGGCTCTCTAAAACACACCCATGTCCTGGGGAAAAGTCACCCCCAAAGAAGATGGGAAGCTGCATTCCAGGGCAGGGATCATAGGAATTTCTTCAGCTAAGAATGAGGCTCCTGATGAGCAGAGAGGGAGCCCAGTGGGCTGGACAGGGAACCTAAGTGTGGGCTGGGGTGATAACAAGCTCCTAGGGACACCTTCATTTACTGTCAGCATCAGGAAGTCTGACTTGTGGAAGTACTAGCACAAGGAAAGAAGCTATTTAAAGTAAAAATGGACCTGGCTTCTGGATTTTCTAGCCACATGTCACTAGAAAATACTCATGGATGACAGTGGCAGCCATTCAGGAGGCTCAGCTAATCAGCCTTGTCCACAAGTCCTCTCATGCACGGATCTCATTTTACACTCCCAGTCATGCTGGAGGGTGGGAACAATCACCTTCATTTTACATATCAAGAAATTAAGAGTAAATCACAGCAAAACTGATTGAAACTTTGGTTTTTCTAACTTCATGTCTTTTTAACAGTACTCTTATATCAAATACAAATTCCTGCCAGATTCTTGGCTGGATACTGGGTATCCAAGATAAGACAGTTTAGTTTCTCAAGGAGATGATGATTTAGTTGGTAACAGGCATGAAAACAAATTAAAACAAAAAGAGGTTATAAATACTAAAGAAGCACAGAGTACACGGAGACAAAGAGGTAGTCATGGCCTGCACCTAGCAGACACACAATAAATAGCCATCCAGTGAAATCCTTTGAGCAACTACTATGTGGTAAGCGCCATTCAGGAATACAGCAATGAAGAAAACAGATAGAACCCCTGCCCCAGTCGGGCATGGTGGATCACACCTATAATCCCAGCACTTTGGGAGGCCAAGGTGGGTGGATCACGAGGTCAGGAGTTCAAGACCAGCCTGGCCAAGACGGTGAAACCCCGTCTCTACTAAAAATACAAAAACTAGCCGGGTGTGGTGCCACGTGCCTGTAATCCCAGCTACTCAGGAGGCTGAGGCAGAGAATTGCTTAAACCCAGGAGGTGGAGGTGGCAGTGAGCCGACATCATGCCACTGCACTCCAACCTGGGCTACAGAATGAGACCCCATCTCAAAAGAAAAAAAAAAAAAAAAACCCCAGTGGAGGGAGCTTACATTCTCATATCAAATGGATACACAGATAAATAGACAGATGGATGGATGGATAAATGAATGGATAGACAGATGGAGACAGTCAGGTATGCAGGTCGTTATGGAGTAGATGAGGTTAAACTGATTAATTTTTTTTTCTTTTTTGAGACAGGGTCTTGCTTTGTCGCCCAGGCTGGAGTGCAGTGGCACAATCTTGGCTCACTACAGCTCCTCCTCCCGGGCTCAAGTGATCCTCCCACCTCAGCCCCCCAAGTAGCTGGGACTACAGGCATGCACTAGCACACCCAGCTAATTTTTTGTATTTTTTGTAGAGACGGGGTTTCGTCATGTTGCCCAGACCGGTCTTGAACTTCTGAGCTCAAGCAATCCACTCACCTCAGCTTCCCAAAGTGCTGGGATTACAGGTGTGAGCCACTGCACACCAGGCCTGAATTGATTCTTTTTTTTTGAGACAGAGTCTCGCCCTGTTGCCCAGGCTGGAGTGCAATGGCCTGATCTCAGGTCACTGCAACCTCCACCTCCCAGGTTCAAGCAATTCTCCTGCCTCAGCCTCCCAAGTAGCTGGGATTACAGGTGCATGACACCACGCCTGGCTAATTTTTTGTATCTTTAATACAGATGGGGTTTCACCATATTGGCCAGGCTGGTCTCGAACTCCTGACCTTGTGATCCACCCGTCTCAGCCTCCCAAAGTACTAGGATTACAGGCGTGAGCCACCGCGCCTGGCCGAATTGATTCTTAAAAACGATAAAACAAGGTATCAGTCAAGGAAAGGAGGGGCCGGGCATGGTGGCTCACATCTGTAATCCCAGCACTTTGGGAGGCCAAGGCAAGAGAATCATTTGAGGTCAGGTGTTTCAGACAAGACTGGGAAACATAGAGAGATCCCACCTCTAAAAGATATTTTTTCAATTAGCCGAGCACAGTGGCCCACACCTGTAGTCCCAGCTACCTGGTGGCTGAGGTAGGAGGACTGCTTGAGCCCAGGAGATGGAGGCTGTAGTGAGCTATGATCACATCACTGTATTCCAGCCTGGGTGACAGAGCAAGATCCTGTCTCAAAAAATAAAAATAAAAATAAAAATAAATAATAAATAAATAAATAAATAAAAGAAGGAAAGGAGGAAGAAAAAGCCAGGAAGGCTCTCCAGGGAGGGGAGAAACACCGGGAAGATCAGGCAGGGTTTCTCAAGCTGGGCTCTCTGGGTATCTGCAGGTGGTTCCCTCTGGCTAAATGTCAGGTCAGACAAGAGATGATGGTAGGAGGAAGGCAAGAGCCACAGAGCTTGGATCTGCCCTGCAGGTCATAGAGAACGAAAGGAAGATTTTAAAGAAGGGTGATAACAAAGATGGTACAATTAATCACAAATATGATTAAAGGTTTATATGTTGGGAAGATTCCACTCTCAAAGTAAATTGAGAACTCCCAAAGTTTTAAAATTGGCATTTTAGAGAGTTCATATAGCAAGCAAGAGGCCATATAGTCTGGAGGGAAAAGCTTGGGCTCAGAGGTCAGATTAAAACCCCAGCTTTGGCACACTTGTGTGACCTTGAGTGAGTTATTTTACTGCTCTGAGTCTGAGATTTTCATCAATAAAACAAGTGTATTACACCCACCTGACAGAGCTATTGTGAGGATCAGAGATATTGTATGATGTACAAAGTGTATGACATCTAGTAGAGTCCCCACATGATCATTTTTAGCCATCATAGGTTAAAGGAATCCCTAGACCTCTGAGGCTGCCATGATGGAGACTAACCCCAGCCTCCCGTGAGCCATCTCTTGGTCCTCCTGACAGGGACCACGCACTGCATTGCAGACTGAGCCAGTCAAAAAGTCCTGGATTCCTTTACAAATAACCTTAATGGGGCACTTTTACAGGGAGGGTTTGTGACCCAGAAATTTCCTTCAAGAGAGGAAATTTAGAAATCGATCATTTTCTGATTAGTCCACCAAGTTACATTTCCTTCCCTCCTTCCTTCCTCCCTCCCTCTCTCTTTCTTTCTTTCCTGATTTATTTAGTAGAGATAGAATCTCGCTATGTTGTCTAGGCTGGACTCAAACTCCTGAGCTCAAGCCTCAAGCAATCCTCCTGCCTTGGCCTCCCACAATGCTGGCATGAGCCACAGTACCCAGCCCATATTGCTTTATGATACCAATAGCCTAACATTGTCCCAAACCTATATCTCTTTCTAAAAGGCTTAAAGAAATGGCAGCCATTATTTCTAAATAAAATCATTCCATAAAGGCTAATTCCTAATATTTATTCTCAAGTAAACACACTAAGATGACTGGCTTCCACCAACATGCCAGCCATCTAGATATGTTTTGAATCATTATGCAACAAACTCAATTCACAAGCTCAGGTCTTTTGGAGTTCTTATACCAAAGATCAGAAAACTATAGATGAATCCTAACTGGTCTCCAAACAAAAGGGAAGGAAAGTCTTGTTTCCCCAAAACAGGATTAGCATTCCACAGTATCAAGAAACCCAGTTTATCTTATTGTCTCATAAACTTGGATTTGTCATCACTCTGCCCTGATGGGGAAGAGGCAGCTTACAGAATCTGCACAGGATTTTTATGTATAGTGAATTAGTGTGTTGTGGTGTTGGCCTCCTTCTCACCCTCACCCTCGCAGCATTCCTTCCCTTCTTCCTCCCCTCCCCCACCTACATACCTCTTTGGAGCACCAGGCACATTTTGGGTGGATTAGCAGACATTCTTCACATGAGGTGGCACTTCCACTAGTGCATATGTTGAGACCTTTAAAGCAAGATAAAGATGCACTAATTAGTTCCTGGCTATAAACTTCATGGATCAAGCCTTTGAATAGGGGGAATTACATCCTTCTTTAACAGGAGGCCTCTCTGAGTCTAAAGGGTGCAGGTACCATTGCTAATTGCAGGTTAAGGCTCATTTGCTAAGGCTGAACATTGAGTTTTTGAAGCATTCACCAAGCATGCACGCTTGTGTTAGCGACTTCCATTTCTTCTGCTAGACCCACTTGGATTCTCATTTTCCCCATAACTCAGCAAATCCTCTCTTGCTGAGAGAAAACAAGGCCCCTTTACACTTAGTCTATCCAAAATGACAAAAATAGTACAAAAAGAAAAGAAAAGAAAAAAGAATACATTGGTTTTATTCAAGAATTTTTTTAAAAAAATAAAATTCTAAATCAAATACTCTCACATCAAAATGTACAGTGTACTGAAAGAAGCCATGCATCCCAGGAATACAATGTTGAATTAAGATAGAGGAAATCCATTGATTCAATATATCTATTAATAGGTCAAATAAAAAAAAAAAAAAACCCAAGGCTAGGCATGGTGGCTCATGCCTATAATAATCCCAACATTTTGGAGGCGAAAGCAGGAGAATTGCTTGAGCCTAGGAGTCTGAAACCGACCTAGGCAACATAGGGTCCCTGTCTCTAAGAAAAACAAAATTTCACCAGGTGTGGTAGTGTGCACTTTGAGCCATGATCGTACCACTGCACTCCAGCCTGGGCAACAGAGGGAGACCCAGTCTCAAAAGCCGGAAAAAAAAAAAAAAAAAAAAGAAAGAAAGAAAAAGAAACTGAAGAATATCCCCAAAATGGAAAGATATCCTGTGCTCACGGTTTGGAAGAATTAATATTGTCAAAATGTCCATGCTATCCAGTCTAAAAATTTAATTCACTCTTTGTCAAAATCCCAATGTCATTTTTCACAGAAATAGAAAAAACAATCCTAAAATTTTTATAAAACCACAAAAGTTTGTATGAAACCCAAATAGCCAAAACAATCTTAAGCAAGAAGAACAAAGATGGAGGCATTGTGTTACCTGATTTCAAAATATACTACAAAGCAACTGTAATTAAAACAGCACAGTACTGGCATAAAAACAGACATGTAGACCAATGGAACAGAATAAAGTGCCCAGAAATAAATCCAGGCATTTACAGTGAACTGATCTTCAACAAAGTTGTCAAGAACACACAATGGGGAAAGGCCAGTCTGTTCAATAAATGGTTTTAGGACAACCAGATATCCATATACAGAAGAATGAAACTGAACTCTTATCTCACACTATATTTAAAAAATCAACTCAATATGGTTTAAAACCTTAAATATAACACCTGAAATGTAAAACTACCAAAAGAAAATGCACGAGGAAAGCTCTCTGGCATCAGACTAGGCAATGACTTTTTGAATATTATCCCAGAAGCACAGGCAACAAAAATGAAAATAGGCAAATGGAATTCTATCAAACTAAAAAGCTTCTGCACAGCAAAGGAAACAATCAACAGAGCAGAGAAACAACCTACTATATGCGAGAGAATATTTGCAAACCACACATCTGATAAGTGGTTAACATCCAAATACATAAAGAATTCAAACAACTCAATATTAAGAAAGCAAATAACCCAGTTACAAAAATGAGCAATGGGCCAGGCACCGTGGCTCGCACCTGTAATACTAGCACTTTATGAGGCCGAGGTGGGTGGATCACCTAAGATCAGGGATTAGAGACCAGCCTGGGCAACATGGTGAAACCCCATCTCTACTAAAAATACAAAAATTAGCTGGGTGTGGTGGTGCACCTCCTAATCCCAGCTACTTGAGAGGCTGAGGCACGAGAATCACTTGAACCCAGGAGGCGGAGGCTGCAGTGAGCCGAGATAGTGCCACTGCACTCCACCCTGGGTGACAGAGCAAGACTCTGTCTCAAAAAAAAAAAAAAAAAAAGACAAAAGCCAGTGCTAGCAAGAATGTGGATAAAAGGGAACCAGGGAAACTCTGTACACTGTTGGTGGGAATGTAAATTAGTACAGCTATTATGGAAAATGATATGGAGGTTCCTTAAACCAGAAGTACTATGTGTTCCAGCAATTCCACTTCGGGGTATATAGTCAAAGAAAATGAAATCAGTATGTCAAAGACATACCTGCACTCTCATGTTCCTTGCAGCACTATTCATAACAGCCAAGATATGCAATCAACAGACAGATGAATAAAGAAAATGTGGTATTTTTAAAAAGTGGTATACACATACAATGTAATCTATTCAGCCTTAAAAAATTGAGAAAATCCTGTCATTTGGGACAACATGGATGAACCTGGAGGACACTATTAAGCGAGGCACAGAAAGACATACTGCATTATGTCACTTATACGTGGAGTGGAAAAAAACTGAACTCAGAAATACGGAGAGTAAAATGGTGGTTGCCATGGCTGGTGGGGTTGAGGTGGGATGGAGAAAGGCGAGATGGTTAAAGGGTACAAAGTTCCAGTTAGAGAGAATGAATAAGTTCTGGAGATCTATTGTGCAGAATGGTGAAAATAGTTCATAATAATGTATTGCACACTTGAGAATTGCTAAGAGAGTAGATCTTAAATACTCTCACCACACAGACACAAAGATAACTATGGGAGGTGATAAATATGTGAATTAGCTGGATGGTAGTAATCACTACAAATATATACATATAATAAAACATCATATCATATACTGTAAATATACACAATTATTTGTCAACTACCTCCATAAAGCTGGAAAAAGAAAAGAAAAATTTAAAAAGTAAAAGAGAAGAAATGCCAAAATAGGGGTTAAAAAAAAAACAAACCAGTATCTTGCAACTGGAACATTTCCCTAATTTGCTAATTTTAACTCCCTGCTTCTCCTTTGTCACTAGCAGTAAAAACTCACAGAAATCGCAAACGGCAAAACTGCTGACTGGCAGAGGGGTGGGTGCAGGAGGTGGTGGTAGGGGAAGGAAGCTTTATCATGTCACCCCAGGGACTTTAGAAGGAAGAAATACCAATTGGCATAAGGATAGTAGCTGGGACCAGAGGGAAGGGAGAAACAGGCAGAAGCTGAGAGGCTAGGAAGAAAGGAAGAGAGGCTTTGAGAACCCACAGGGGGTGAGAACAAAGGTTTCCACCAGCCCTAACCCTGAACCCTAGGCCTCCTCATCCTTATCTACCTCACCCAGGGAGGCCTACAGCAGGAGGATCTGAGGCTGCTGGGACCCACCCACCTTGCCTGACCTCACTTCAGCAGGAAAAGCCATCCAGGGCCAAATGTGGACGAAGAAGGTCTGAGAACACAACCTACTGGGAAGCTGGACCTGCCTGTGTATGTGCTGACAACCTCCTAATTTTAAATGAATTCACTCACTCAGTGAGTTTTCTTTTCTTTTCTTTTTTTTGATTTCTTGTTTGTTTTTTTTTCTTTGTTTGAAACAGGGTCTAGCTCTGCTGCCCAGGCTAGAGTGCAGTAGTGTGATCATAACTCACTGTAGCCTCAAACTCCTAGCCTCAAGTGATCCTCCCACCTCAGCCTCCCAAGTAGCTGGGACTCCAGGTACACATCACCACACCTGGCTAATTTTTTTTTTTTTTTTTTGTGGTGGAAGACAGGGTCTTGCCATGTTGCCCAGGCTGGTCTCAAACTCCTGGGCTCAAGTGATCCTCCTGCCTGGGCCTCCCAAAGTGCTAGGATTACAGGCGTGAGCTACCACACCTGGCTCACTTAGTGATTTTTAAATAGGCACTTAAGCCTTTAAAAACAAAAGTGTGTGCAGGAAAAGAGTTGCAAAATGTCAGTCCCATTTTTTGGTCAAATCCCCGTACCTGTCAGCAATCACTATCTGCAGGGGAAAAAAAATAAATCTAGAATGAAAGTAACTTTGCTCCTCCTCTCCTCAACCTTATCAAATACAAACTCAGGCTCGTTGTGGCATATCCTTTTCTTTGATATATAAAATCATTTTCATAAAATCATGAGATTATAGCACCTTGGGGCTAGGATTGTTTTAAGATGAGCTAGTCAAGTTGCCTCTTTTTATAGATGAAAATGTAAGATAATGAGAGTATGTGACTTGAAACAAGGAGCCCTATCTACAAAAAAGAGGTCAGACGGGGTCCTGACCAGCAAGTGCCCACATGGGATACCTGCCTGGTGGTCCCTCTGCCATCTTGGATGTAGGGCTGGTGTGACCTGCTGAGCTCTAGGGTCCTCTGGAGATCTGTAACAGCCCCTTTATCAGAAAGGAATTTGAGGTCAAAGGCCTCACGTAGGACTCTGATCAAAGCCACATAATTTTTTTTTTTAGACAGAGTCTTGCTTTGTTGCCCAAGCTGGACTGCAGGGGCATGATCTTGGCTCACTGCAACCTTGCTTCCCAAGTTCAAGTGATTCTCCTGCCTCAGCCTCCTGAATAGCTGAGATTACAGGCATATGCCATCACGCCTGGCTAATTTTTGTATTTTTAATAGAGATAGGGTTTCAGCATGTTGGACAGGCTGGTCTTCTGACTTCGACTCCTGACTTCAAGTGATCTGCCCACTTCAGCCTCCCAAAGTGCTGGGATTATAGACGTGAGCCACCGTATCCAGCTTCAAAGCCACATACATTTGCAAACAACACTTTATAATTACCAGAGCCTCATCATGAGCTCTGGGAACTTGGGCTGGAGGTCCAGGGCTCAGGACAATAAGAGCTCCTCAATTCTGATGCAGATCAGACTGAGCTCTGGTCTTCTGGTCCACCAGCCTAAAAGCCCTTACTTAATTGGACACAATACCAAAGAAACTCAAAGGATGTGATAGTCACCTGGTATGAAAACATCATGAACAACTGTAAAACAATTTGTCATATAGCATTACTAACTGTTTCTGTTATTATTAAATATTCACATGGAAAAGTAAAGTCGTTTGTACTCAAAATGATTGCCCTAAAATTCAGTTGCTGTTGGGACACATTCAAATTCAAGAAACTCTGCACTTAACACACCCTAAACGCTGAGCACTGGACTGGGGGGATGCTAGAAATGCACAGGTGAATGACCTACCAGCCCTTGATGTCCAGGAACTCACAGTGTGCCGGGTACCAGGTACCAGACAGGTACTCCAGGATCCAAAACCACAGGCTGTGTGCTGGTATGTGTAATGTCAGACTCACTCCCTTTGGCATCTCTCCTCTCTCCACCTATTAATATTTCAGAGTTTGGACTTTGCTGGATGAGTCATTTGGCACCAATAAGCATTTTGAAAAGGAAGGAAGCAATGAATAAAAAACTAAACACACGGAGTTCACAAATGTCAGTGTTAGGTCTAGGTCATGGAAACAGGAACTAGCAGCCCAGATGATAGCCACATCTCATCTTCTTTGCTGTTTGCATAGTGACTATTCCCAGCTCGGTGGCAACTCCATGTATCTCTTTTGCCTCACGTCTCTGAAGCCCAGTGTTTACTGCAAACTGTAATCTAAAAATATGTTCTTCCAAAATTCACTGACTCACCCCTGTGTTTCATCAATCATTCAAGGAGCCACCGCATCCGGTTGATCACTCCTTTCAAGATGCAAGAAATGTTTATCCTAAGCCAACCCTTCCTGTCTGCAACCTCTAGCCCCAACAACCCAAGCCAGGCCCTCTGGTCTAAATTCCTGCCATAGCCTCCTGGCTGGCCTCCTTCCATTCAGCCTCTCTCCACTTCTGTACACCCCATGGGTCCAAGGTCAGACAACTACTACTAAAACATACATCTGCAGTTGGAATTTCCTGATCCAAAATATTCAGTAGGATAACAGAAGTGAATACAGAAGCTGAAATGGCCTTTCTGCCTTGAAGATGGCAATGCCCTGGAATGCTTCTCCCCACACCCTGAACCAGGCCCTCACATTTGTCACACAATGGACAAAAGAGTCCCAGTATAGACTCCAGCAACTAAATAGCCATATGTCTAAATGTTACCATGAAATGCAAATATGCCCTAGGAAGGTTCTATCCCAGCAGTTCTCATTCAAGACTGCCTTTATGAACATCAGACATCTGCACAACACTCAACAATACCAGCCTTACAGATCTGACTTCTATTTTTAAAACACCAATTCATATAATGGAGTGCTAGACAGCTATAAAGAAAGAATGAGCATGCTCTCTGTATTGACAGGAAGCTTACCCCAATACATCGCTAAGTTAAAAATAAAAAGCAAGATACATACTGTGTTTTGTGCTGCCTCTGAATAAAAATGAAAGAGGGATATTCGTAACATATCCATAGAAACCCTCAGGATACATAAGAAAGCTTATTAGCTTTATAATAGGAACTATATAGGCACAATTTATTTAGAAAAGGGGGTCACAGAAATATCCCACACTGATGGGCAACAAGAAAGAGAGGCTTCTCGCTTGATATGAGTTATACTTTTAAAAATTATGGGACTATATTACCTATCAAAAGGTATTTTTTTAAAGAGGCAATTGATTACCTCTATGTTCTTCTTCCAAAATCACCTAACTCTGTCTAATCACGGGAAAAAATCAGAAAATCCCAAGAGGGGGATGATCTACAAAATATCTGACCAGTGCTTCTTAAAACTGTCAAGGTCATAAAAAACAAGGAAAAGACTGAGAAACTGTCACAGCCATGGGAACCCAAGGTGACATGACAACTCAATGTATTGTGGTATCTTGGATGGGATCCTAGAACAGAAAAAGGACTTAGGTAAACACTAAAGAAATCTAAACTGATGGACTTTAGTTAATAATAACATATCAATATGGTTCATTAATTATAATAAAGGTACCATACTAATGTAAGATGTTAATAATAGGCAAAACTGGGTGTGAGGTAGATGGGAACTCTTTGCACTATCTTCTCAATTTTTCTGGAAATCTAAAACTGCTCTAAATTCTTTGAAGGCTTTTTTAAGGGCCAGGCACACTGGCTCACTTCTGTGATCCCAACAATTTGCAAGGACCAGGTGGGAGGAGCAGTTGAGCCCAGGAGTTCAAGCTACAGTGGGCCATGATCACGCTAATGCACTCCAACTTGGGTGACAGAGCGAGATTCTGTCTTTTTTTAAAAAATAAATAAATAAATAAAAGAGACACCGGGCACAGTGGCTCATGCCTGTAATCCCAACACTCTGGGAGGCTGAGGCAGGCAGATCACCTGAGGTCAGGAGTTCAAGACCAACCTGGCCTACATCGTGAAACCCTATCTTTACTAAAAATACAAAAAATTAGCCAGGCATGGTGGCACGTGCCTGTGATCCCAGCTACTTGGAAGGCTGAGGCATGAGAATGGCTTGAACCTAGGAGGCAGAGGTTGCAGTGAGTCAAGATCACACCACTGTACTCCAGCCTGGGCAACAGAGTGAGACTCCATCTCAAAATAAAATAAAAAAGAAAGGGAAAAAGAAAAGAAAAAGTACATATGTAAAAGTTTGTTTGTTTGTTTGTTTGTTTGAGACAGAGTCTCTGTCTCCCAGGCTAGAGTACGGTGGTGTGATCTCAGCTCACTGCAACCTCGGCCTCCAAAGTTCAAGCGATCCTCCTGCCTCAGCCTCCTGAGTAGCTGGGATTACAGGTGCACACCACCATGCCTGGCTAATTTTTGTATTTTTAGTAGAGACTGGATTTTGCCATGTTGGCCAGGGTGGTCTCGAACTCCTGACCTCAGGTAATCTGCCTGCCTCGGCCTCCCAAAGTGCTGGGATGATAGGTGTGAGCCACCCTGCCTGGCCAAATCTTTTAAATAAAGTTTTTCTAAGCCCATTAAAATCCTGGGGTGAGAGAAGGGATCATCTGAGTACCAAGCATTGTGGCTGTGTCAGGGACACAGGTAAATAAGACCAGGGCTATTAACCAGGTAGCAGGTGAGACAGACCAGCTGCAGCCCCCAGTCTCTCTAATGGAATGGGCCATGAAAGCAGGAGGAGGAGGAGATAGTTCTGCTCCACCCAGGGATGTAGGGAAGGAGAACAGGATATACTGGGTATAAAAGATCAGAGGACTTGTTCTGTCACTTATTGGTTATGTGACCTAGGGCAAGTCACTTAACCTTTCCAGGCCTCAGCTTCCTCATGCAAACAACTCAGGGAGTAGACCAAATGGCCTCCATACCAGCTCAAAAAATCCTAACACAAAGCCAGGAGTGGTGGCTCATGCCTGTAATCCCAGCACTTTGGGAGGCCAAGGTGGGCAGATCACCTGAGGTCAGGAGTTCAAGACCAGCCTGGCCAACATGGTGAAACCCCATCTCTACTAAAAATTAAAAAATAAGCCAGGTGCGGTGGTGTACGCCTGTAATCCCAGCTACTCGGGAGGCTGAGGCAGGAGAATCGCTTGAACCTGGGAGGCAGAGGTTGCGGTGACCAGAGATTGCACCACTGCACTCCAGCCTGGGCAACAGAGTGAGACTCCAATTAAAAAAAAAATCCTGACACATTCCAACAGAATCTCTTTCTCCCAGGATGTTTCTTCCTAACAAGCCGCATGCATAGTCCCTGACTTCAAAGCTAGCTGTGGAAGGCAACAGGGAGTTGAGGACGGGATGCATCGCCCTCTTCACCTCCCAATTACCAAGATTCAGGTTCATCCATTATTCATTCAACAAATATGTGCCTGGTGCTGTTGTAGGCATGGAGGATACAGAGATGAATAAAACCAACAAGACTCCCTTATTCACGGAGCTCACATCCTGGCTGGGGGAGAATTCTACTTAGGGGAAATAGTGAAGAAGATATGTAGTTACATTAGATGGTGGTGAGTGCTAAGGACAAAAATTAAAGAAGAAAAGCAGATAAAAAGAACTCGGGATATAGGGAGGAGGTTGCAGCTTTAGCTGGGAGCGGCCAGGGAAAACTTGGCTGAGCAGGAGATGCTAGAAAAAGGGTTGCAGGGTGGAGGAAGCCGGTCATGCAGATATCTTGGAGGACAGTATTCCAGGCAGGGAGAAGGGCTGCCATGGGAGCATGGCTGGCACGCTGAAGGGACAGTGGGAGGCCCATGCTGCTGGAGCAAAGGATCGAAGGGAAAGTGGTGAAGGAAAGTCAGAGAAGTAGGTGGAGAGTTCGTGGAGCCTGGCAGGACTCTGGGAAACCATTCGAAGGTTTTAAGCAGAGAGATATGATCTGACTTGAGTTGGATCTCAGGATCACTCTGAGGGACAGTTGAGAATAACTAAAGAGAACAAGTTGCAGAAGTAGGTCCCAGCTCTACAAGAGACAACCAGCTCTGAAAATGTCTGGCTGGAGTTGGGGAGGGAATCCTATAAAGAGAGGGCAGGGTACCCCGCAGTGCCTTCAAAGCATCAGCCTTAGGGGATGAGTCAAGCCTGTCTTAGAGCAAACTTTTCACCATGAGGCCCGGGAAGTAAACCCTGCATTCAACGGAAGCAAGAAGCCTCAGAAACAAATGGGTGCCTCTAAATAAAGCATTCCTTTACATTTATAGAGGCCATTAATCCCATTCGAACCGGAAAGAAGGAAAACAAACCACGGCAGTCAGTTCTCCAAGGCCCTCGGCTCCAGCCAACTGGAAATACCTGTGAAAAGAGACCCTATCCCATTAACCCAGCTGCACACTGCCATGTGAAAGGGGCCCTATTATTTAAGTAGTTTGTAATTGTCCCACATTACTGATATCGTTAAAGCATCTCAGAATATTTCCATGGCCAGGCTGAATAAGAAAAAGTAGTTACCAGGCCACGCAGGCACAAAAGGCCTTTTGCCAAACTACTTAGATATTTTAATTCCCCGTTGCCTCAGTAGCTAAATAAGCATGGAGAACAAGCAGGCGGGGAATACTAATTAGAGCTAATTAGACCCTGCCCTCTTCTGCCTCAATCCCCTTTATAAAAAGCTCCCCCAACTCAAGGATGATGGAGTTAAAATGTAAATCCATAGGATAAACAGCAGTCTACAGACCAAACCCACTGTTTGTATTTCATTGTCCTGTCAGCTCTAAACCTGTGCCTGGTTACCTACAGAGAGCTGCAGACCCAGCCAAATTCCAACAACCCCATCACAGACCACAGGAAATGTGGTAGGGGGTTGGGGGTAGAGGAAGGGTGCTGCCAACATGAGTCCACTAAATAAAACAAAGGGCTTTCTTAGGATGTGCAGAGCATTCACTAGAAGAACATTCGATTGCTTTTTTAAAAAGAAATGAATGTGATAGCACACATAATTCCAGCGGTGTTGCAGGATCCTCTTTATAAGACGGTGTTCCTCTCTCTGTCTTAGCAAAGGCAGCGTGGAAAAGCCTCACCTCAGTGAGACCCCTGGTTTTGTGGGAAGACCACATCCTAGGATTCTGTCTGAAGGCTCTTGGCCATAAGATAATAAAAAGAGCAGGAGATAGCCCTTGGTGGGGACGGGAGGGGGTTGTCAGCCGGCCAGGGACTTGTTTGAAATGAGCCCCTGAAACCTAAGGTCAGTTTCCTGCTGGAAATCCGTACTGAGATGAAAGTGGGGTTAGAGCAACAGAGAGAGGCACTCAACCACTGGTCCAGGAACACCCAGGCAGGCATGGCCCTGAGGGTCATCTCTTTCTTTTCTCTGAGTAACTAGGTTTTTTTCTTTCAAATAATGTTCCTAGTGGCAAGACAGAAACACTCCCTGAATAAAGTACCTGTAGTGCTTCAAGAAAACAAAGAAGGGAAGGGAAGCAAAAAAAAAAAAGAAAAAAAAAAAGAATGTTGAAGTTAATTCAGCAACACTGAAAAACTAGGAGAAATGACACAGATGTGAGTCAACCTCTGCTAATCCTGAGAAGCTTCAGGGCCCTAAGAGGTAAGCAGCAAGTTCTGGAGGCCAGTGCCATGGCTTGCTCCACCACCACCACCACCAAAACCTGTAGTCAAAGAGATGGGCAGAGGCCAGCCGTGGTGGCTCACACCTGTAATCCTAGCATTTTGGGAGGCCGAGGCGGGCGGATCACCTGAGGTTGGGAGTTAGAGACCAGCCTGACCAACATGGTGAAACCCTGTCTCTACTAAAAATACAAAATTAGCCAGGCGTGGTGGTACATGCCTGTAATCCCAGTTACTCAGCAGGACAATCACTTGAACCTGAGAGGCAGAGGTTGTGGTGAGCTGAGATCATGCCACTGTACACCATCCTGGGCAACAAGAGTGAGACTCTGTCTCAAAAAAAAAGAAAAGAAAAGATAGGCAATGGGAAAACAGGACCCCAAAAGAGTTGCAAATGAACCACCATGCTCAGTGCTTTTCTCTTCCTTAAGCTGAGTCGGTAGGACAAAGGGCACTGGACCAAAAGCCATGGTCCCTGGTCCACCACTCCTGACCCAAGTAGAGGGGAAGGGCAAGTCACTTCCTTCCTGAGCCCATATGAGAAAATGGACATCACCGTGAAGATGTACGTGAACTCTGAAAAAGAGAAAGCAAGATGCAAGTGGAAAATAATGTATTTTTAGAAATTATTCGCAGCCAGGCGTGGTGGCTCATGCCTGTAATTGAAGCACTTTGGGAGGCCAAGGCAGTTAGATCACCTTAAGTGAGGAGTTCAAGACCAGCCCAGCCAACATGGTGAAACCCCATCTCTACTAAAAATACAAAAATTAGCCGGGCATGGTCGCAGCGCCTGTAATCATTGCTACTTGGGAGGCTAAGCCAGGAGAATTGCTTGAACCTGGGAGGTGGAGGTTGCAGTGAGCCGAGATGGCACCACTGCACTCCAGCCTGGGCTACAAGACTGAAACTCTGACTCAAAAAAAAAAAATTATTTGCAACTAGAAATTATTATTATAATTCTGTTTGTCAGAATTACAGAATGTCAAGCTGGAAAGGAACTTAAAAGCCATCTCCTTTGGCAGTTTCTGAACTTTTGGATTTCAAAGAAAACTAAGATTTAAAAACAAAACAAAAGAAACAAACAGAAAAAGAGAAGGGGAGCTTAACATAGGGTTGTCAGATTTTCTTATTTTGCCAAAATTAAAAACTACTAATATTATTAAGAAGTATTAAAAGAAAATGTTCCCACCAAAAAAAGAAAAAGTGCCTAATTTCAAACTAAAGGAAAGTCCTTGTGGAGCAGGGGAGCGTTGACAACAATACATTCCTGTGTGATGCAGGCTACATCTTCCTGCTCCTCGCTTTCCCTAGGGACCCATGAAAATATCCGTGATGGGCACTGGCTGCCGGATGGGTGTTTGGAATCCACTCATCTACTCTCCAAGCTCTGGAGTGATTATTTTCCCATTTAAAACAAAAACCAAAAACCTTGCTACAGTATTAAGTTTGAATTAGGGTCTGAACGAAGTTATTGTTTGCTCAGACCCCTCCTCCGCTCTTAAACCTAAACCTCCACTGCCTTCATGTAAATGAGACACCGTGGGGGAACAGTCCTCCCTTCGGGCAGCCAGGCAACCACTTGGCTCACAAGAGCAATCAAGTATCTCCGGCTTGAAAGTTAATAGAGCACTATTATTTCCTAAAAGAAAGGAGAAAATCCGCATCCCAAACAAGTGCATCCTTCCTCGAGGGCCTCCAAACTACCACGTCCAATCATCTCCCAACTCTGAAAAGTTAGAGCAGGTAACCGAGGGATCCTTGCAACGCTGCCAGCCCACCGCAGCGTCGGGCTAAGGCAATCTCCACAGCCCCTGTCCTCTGCTCCAGAATCCTCCACAGTTAGGGGAGTGTGAGGCTCCGAGCGTGTGCAAATCGCGGGATAAAGTCGGGCAGAAGGAATTTAATAGGGAAGTCCCAGGTGGGGCTGTGGTTTGGGACGCGGGTGCCCCCTCGGGTTTGCGGTGGCCTAGGCGAGGAGGAAGCAGGCGGGGGGCGGGGAGGGTGGGGGCTGCATCTTCAAAGGCAGGCGGCTAGCCTAGGCGCAGCGAACTCCAGGATTCGCTGTGGGCCCTGTGCACCCGCTGTTCCAGGAGGCGAGCCCTCCGGAGTGGAGGTGGCCCCGGGCTTTGGCTGGGGTTTCGAGACTCCCTTGCTTCTCCGGGAACAGGGCACCGACGGCATCCCCCCAGCAGCCCGCCCGCTCCCGGCCGGCCACAAGGACCGCTTTGTGCCCGCCAACGGAGAGCCCGGGCCCCAAGGCAGGGCTGGCGGCGGTCCTCCCCGTGCCCTGGGCGCGGGCCCTGGCGGGCTAGGTCAGCAGGCCGGCCAGCCTGTTTACACAGGAAGGGAAGCTCCTCCTCAGCCCGGGAGGGAACAGGAGACTCACGACAGCCCGGCGGGGCTGCGCGCGGGGAGCGCCCCGCGGGGCTGTCCCCCAGCGACTGGCCCACCAGGGAGTGCCCCGAAGGCGCCCTCCGCCCTCAGGCACCGCCTGCGCTCCCCGCCCCTCCGAGACGCCCGCCCGCGGCTGAGTGTGCGACAAAGTTTCTCTGGGCGCCGTGGGCGGCGCGGCTTACCTGCGAGCCGGGGCAGGAGCGCGCAGAGCCCCAGGAGGCAGGCGTACAGCGGCGCCGGGGCCCGCGGCATGGTGGGGCGCCTCCCTCAGCGGCGGCGCGGTCGCTGCACTCCGCGGGGGCCGGCGGCCGGGGCTGGGGCCGGAGCGCGGGGGCCGAGGGCCGGGGGCCGCAGCCGCATGCCCCGCGCGCAGCTCCGGCTCACGGCGCCCGCGCTGGCCCGCGCCCCGCCGCCACCATCCGTCCCGCAGCACTCACGGCCGAGTCCCGGGACCGCGGCTGCCCTGGCTGGCCGGCCGGGACTCCTAGTGTGTCGCCGCTCGGGACGGCCCCAGCGGGCTGCTCCGGGTAGGGGAGGGGCTGGCTCCGCTCGGCGGCCGCGACTTGGGCTCCGAGACGCGCCCAGCGCCGAGACTCCCCCGCGCGCCGGCACACTCTGCCCCTGGCCTCCGCCCCTTCCCTTCCTCCCTCCGGCCCGCCAGGCTCCACTTTCCTCCTCTCCTTTCTCCTCCCCTTCTCTCCCCTGCCAGGCCCTCGCCCGGCCGCCACACGGTCAGCTTACGGTGAGGCGGGGCGGGGCGAGCTCCGGGCCGGGCCAGCTCCGCCCTGTGCGGGGACCGGCCCGGGACGCGGAGGCCCTACGGGCCCAGGTGGAAGTCGCTTGCGACTCACTTGGGGCGTGGGGGGCTCGAAACCACTGAGTAGAGCCCGCTCCCGTTGCTTAGCCGCCCGTCGCCACGGGAAAGGGGCGGGGCACGCTGTATTAGGCGAGCCGAGATTACTTGGGCCAAAGGCGGTTGCTAGACTGCGAGAGGGAGAGCAGGTACGGGGGTCGTGCCGGTACCGCCTCATCCTCCCAAAGCCTCACTGCCGGCGGCCTGAGATGGGACGTAGACGCCCGCGCGTGGAACCGCAAAGCGACTTCTGGATGAGCAAGGGAGGGCGTGGTGGGGCGTGGAGGCACAAGTAAAACCTACATTTCTTTTTCTTTTCTTTTTTTTTTTTTTTTGAGACAGCGTCTTGCTCTCACTCAGGCTGGAGTGCACTGGCCCAGTCTTGGCTCACTGCAGCCTGGACCTCCTGGGCTCAAAGGTTCCTCCACCTTAGCCTCCTGAGTAACTGGGACTACAGGCGCGCGCCACCACACCCGGACAATTTTTACATGTTTTGTAGAGATGGGGGTCTCGCTGTGTTGCTCAGGTTAGTCTTGAACTCCTGGGCTCAAGCATTCCTCCTGTGTCTGCCTCCTAAAGTGCTGAGATTACAGGTGCGAGCCACCGTGCCCGGCCCACTTTTCACTTTTTAACTTTTGCACCTTTCAAGGATTTGAGACTGGCCAATATGCCGCTATATTTCGTTGTCCTTACTGATAATCTGTCAGTTTCCATGATCAAACTGATAGACTCAAAAACATATGCTCAGGCTTTCATCTTATCATTTACATATAAGCTGGATCTGAACTAGCCAATAAAGAGTGGGGTGGGGTCTTCCTCAGATGGTGCAGGAAAGGATGCCTTGGGCTTGGATTCGCTACAAGTGCGTTTAGAGTGGAGTGGTTGATAGGCAAGAGAAGAGGCGACATTCAGGTAGGGGAAAATAACGATAGAATACCTACCAAGTACAGAGAGCACACTGCCAGCCAGGCACTGTTCTAAGTCCTTTACCCATATTAACTCATTTCATCCTCCGACAACCCTACTGTTATCCAGTTGAGGAACCGAGGGACAGAGGGGTTAACTGCTGGAGGAAGTGACAGCTAGGATGCCTCGTTCAAAAGTGCAGCATGGCTTGGCTAAAACTGAAGCAGTAAGGGGGAAAGAACAAAGGGGTCTCACCTTTGCAGGCCAGGGACCTGGTGGAAGAATGGCTTGGAGGGCCCAGTGGAAAACTGTCCTAACTGCCCAGCTCAAGGAGTTTGGATGTTAACCTTTATTTCTTGGCCTCCTCCCAAACTCTAACAAGGTGGTGCCTCAATGCCTGAGGAAGTAAACTTCTTGAAGTACAATATAGTGTGCCTGGGGGCAAAGATGCAGCAGTCCATAGCAAGCTCCTTTATAGTATTTGTGAAAGGAAAATAAATCTCAGGGCCCCCAAATCACTAAGCCAGGAGAAAAATCAAGCTGGGAACCGTGTCAGGCAAACCTGCCTCCCATTTTATGCCTAATTAAGATAGCTAAGAAGCTACATACCTCCCTCACAATTTACCCACAGGAAATTCCTTTTGGACAAAGGACAGACAGAACTCAAAGTCATCCCTCTGAGGCTCACCTGAGACAAATGAATACCTGATTGCTCCCTCTGGCCTATTGTTTATGTAAAAATGCAGATTCACTGAGCCAGACTAAATTGTGTATTCAGTGGAAGGCTGATCAAGGACCCAAAAGAATGCAACCTTTTGTCTCTTATCTGCTTCTAACCTGGAAGCCCCCACTTCAAGTTGTCCTGCCTTACAAAACCAAACCAATGTACGTCTTACACATATTGATTGATGTCTCATGTCTCCCTAAAACGTATAAAAGCACACTGTAACCCCGACCACCTTGGGTACATATTGTCAGGACTTCCCGTCACTGGCACATCCTTAACCTTGGCAAAATAAACTTTCTAAATTGACTGAGACTGGTCTCAGATATTTGGGGTTAACATATTCTATAATATCCTCATGTTTGTTTTGATGTAAAACGCTTGTCCCTAAACATTTTACAGGAGCTGTCCTGGGTTTATCTTGGAGCTACCTGTCTCTTAGGTCAGTGGCCTTGGAGCTACTCTTATGCCAGTTTGAGAGGCAGTGATTATAAATAATGGGGCCAGCGCGTTGGCTCATGTCTGTAATTCCAGCACTTTGGGAGACCCAGTCGGGTGGATAGCTTGAGGCCAAAGTTCGAGATGAGCCTGGCTAAACATGGCGAAACCCTGTCTCTTAAAAATACAAAAATTAGCTGGGCATGGTGGTGGGTGCCTGTAATCCCAGCTACTCTGGAGGCTGAGGCCTGAGAATCGCTTGAATCCAGGAGGTAGAGGTTGCAGTGAGCCAAGATAGCGCCACTGCACTCCACTCCAGCCTGGGCGACAAAGCGAGACTCTGTCTCAATCAATCAATCAATCAATGCCCTGAAAGAGCTTGAGCTATGAGATGTTGCGTGCCAAGTGGTGATTTTAAAAGATTTGTCTGTCAGGGGAGTGTAGGATGGATTAGATGGACGGGGCGTGGAGTCCTGGAAACTGGGTAAATACTGCCTTAATAACTACAATAAAAATTAGTACTTATCTAGCTTTTTTTTTTTTTTTTTTTTGGAGACGGAGTCTCGCTCTGTCGCCCAAGCTGGAGTGCAGTGGCACAATCTCAGCTCACTGCAACCTCTGCCTCCCAGGTTCAAGCAATTCTCCTGTCTCACCCTCCCAAGTAGCTGGGACTACAGGCGTGTGCCACCACACCTGGCTGATTTTTTTTTTATTTTTAGTAGAGGCGGGGTTTCACCATGTTAGCCAGGACGGTCTGGATCTCCTGACCTCATGATCCGCCCGCCTCGGCCTCCCAAAGTGCTGGGGGCATGAGCCACCGCGCCCGGCCTTATCTAGCATTCTTTAAGCCTAGGCCCTGTGGAGCGGATCTTCTGCGTGTCACCTTCCTTCTTCCAACTCCAGTGCTTTACAAACTGTTGAAATATCAGTTTGATCTGTCTCAGACTCAGATCCAACACAGTCCGTCACTTACCTAAACTGCACTTGGAAAGTTCTGCGATCAAACCTGCCCCTGGTTCCCTTCTTACTAGCCCCCCTCCTATTATCACCTGGTGGTTTCCTGAGCCCCTAACTTGCCCAGACCTGCCATAAGCTCTAAATCCTGAGTGATCCAGGCTCCAATATCTTAAAACTGGTTTAGAGATGCCTTTGCTCTGAGCTTTTGCTTTGTGGTTTATGCCTTTTTTCTTGTCCCTTCTTCTTCTTCCTTTTTTTTATTAAGCTGGAGAGTGGAGATGCCCTTCAAATGCTTTGACTTTCATCTACTCATTAAATTCAGTATGCACTGATTGCTCACCTCGAGGCAAAACTCCCCCCCCAGCCACTGGAACAGTTTCCTTTGTGGCTACTTCTGGAACATTCCATGTCTGATCACTGCTAAGCTTCTGGACCCAAAGGAGGCTGCTGGTTTTGGATCAGTTTGACGACGGGGTTTGAGCATGGATAACCAAGAGAAATTTTATGTTTCTTATTGTTAGTTTTAAACTATGATGAGTTCAAGAATTAAATATAGACTTACCATATGACCCAACAACTCTAGTTCTGGGTATATCCTCCAAAAAATTGAAAGCAGGGACTCAAACAGATACCTGTACACCAAGGTTCATAGCAGCATTATTCACAATAGCTAAAAGGTGGAAACTACCCAAGTGTCCATCAACAGATGAACAGAAGACAGGATGTAGTAGGTACTTATAGTGGACTATTATCAGCCTTTAAAAGAAATGAAGGCCTTTGCAATGGCTCATGCCTATGATCCCAGAACTTTGGGAGGCTGGGATGGGACGATTGCTGGAGGCCAGGAGTTCAAGACCGGCCTGAGCAACATAGGGAGACTGAGGAGACAGAATCATTTGAGCCCTCAAGTTGGAGCCCTGTAGCTGGAGGTTAAAGTGAGCTATGCGACAGAGTGCATAACTGCCTCAAAAAAAAAAAAAAAAAAGGAAATGAAATTCTGACATTCTGACATGCAGCTGGGAGAAGTGGCTCATGCCTGTAATCCCAACACTTTGGGATGACCGAGGCAGGAGGATTGCTTGAGCTCAGGGTTTGAGACCAGCCTGGGCAACATGGTGAAACCCCATCTCTACAAAAAAATACAAAAATTAGCTGGGTGTGGTGGCATGCCTGTAGTCCCAGCTACTTGGGAGGCTGAGGTGGATCACCTGAGCCTGGGGAAGTTGAGGCTGCCATGAGCCATGATTGCACCACTGCACTCCAGCTTGGGGGACAGTGAGGCCCTGTCTCAAAAAAAAATAAAAATAAAAATAAAAAATGAAAAAGAAGGAAAAGAGGGAGGGAGTGAGGAAGAGAGGGAAAGAAATTCTGTTATATTACAGCATGGGTGAATCTTGAAAACATGCTAAGTGAAATAGGCCATATAGAAAAGGACAAAATATTGTATGATTCCACATACTATGTATAAAGTACATAGAATGAAAAATTCAGAGACAGAAAGTAGAATAGAGGTTACCAGACCCTAGAGGGAGAGGAGAATTTAGAGTATTAATTAAATTAATGTGTAAATACTTTCAGTTTGGTCTCAAACTCCTGACCTCAAGTGATCTGCCTGCCTCGGCTTCCCAAAGTGCTGGGATTACAGGAGTGAGCCACCACTCCTGGCCTCAGTTTGGGATAATGGAAAAGTTCAGGAAATAGATGGTAGTAATAATTGCAAAACATGGTGAATGTACTTAATGCCACTGAATGGTAAACTTAAAAATAGTTAAAATGGGCCAGGTGTGGTCGCTCACACCTATAATCCCAGCACTTTGGGAGGAAGGGGGGAGGGAGGTAGATTGCTTGAGTCCAGGAGTTCGAGACCAGCCTGGGCAACATGGTGAAATCCCATCTCTATTAAAAAAAAAAAAAAAAAAAAAAATTAGCACTGTGCCAAGTGCCTGTAGTCCCAGCTACTCAGGAGGCTGAGGTGGGAGGATCGCTTGAGCACAGGAGGTTGAGGCTGTGGTGAGCCATGATTGTGCCATTGCACTCCAGCCTGGGTGACAGAGGGAGACTCTGTAAAAAAAAAAAAAAAAAAAAAAGTTAAAATGGTAAGTTTTATGTTATGTCTATTTTACCTGTAAAAATAAATAAACAAAAAAACTTAAAAATCAGATTCGTTAAGTTTCCTGTTTCACAATTCAGATTTACCAACTCCCAAAGTGACTTGTTATGTTGGGCAATTCAATTTTAATCCAAGTCAGAAATATTTCACTGAGGCATACCTGTAATTTAACATGCAGGGAGAAAAAGAGTTCGGGGCAGAAAAACAACTATCCTACAGTATACCCCTTAGTTTAGATAAGGCACTTAATTTACTCTGCTTTTAGTAGTCATGCCTAGGATTTACCACACTGCAAGAAATGAGTGACTCTGGTGACTCTTTTGTAGAGATTGATAGGCCTATGACACATGTATACAATTTTCTTTAATGTTAAGATTAACTTTTTAGGCTGGGTGCAGTGGTGTCTCATGCCTGTAATCCCAGCACTTTGGAAGGCCAAGGCAGGAAGATCACCAGAGGTCAGGAGTTCGAGACCCGCCTGGCCAACATGGTGAAAACCCATCTCTACTAAAAATACAAAAATTAGCTGGATGTGGTGGCGTGCTCCTGTAATCCTAGCTACTCAGGAGGCTGAGGTATGATAGTTGCTTGAATCTAGGAGGTGAAGGTTGCAGTGAGCCAAGATCGCACCCCTGCACTCCAGCCTGGACAACAGAGTGACACTTTGTCTCAAAATAAAATAAAATTAAAATGATTAACTTTTTATTTGAAAAATACCAAATTATATTCCTTTTTATAGGAAAATGCTCTGTCATAAGTTTTTCTTTCCCTGTCCACCATGGTCCTGGTTAGGAAAAAGTAATCCCTGTGCCAGCTCTCAGAGTTCACAGCCAATAAGGGACTACTGAGGGCAGACCCAAAAATGACACCTAGATGATGGATGAACATGGGAGACAAGCAGGTGACAAGTCCAGGGGCACACTGGGTTCCCTGTTAGTGAAAATAGCCTATTATGCTAACTGGCATATAGTAGATCTCAGTAATTTTTGTTTGATGGCTTATTTTTAGGTTCAGCATGTGCATAGTGGTCATTGCCAAGTGTGAGGGGGGTGGAATTTCATGTTGAGAAACGGAGTACCAAACAAGTCTCGACAGAAATTTTCAACATAGGGATAGGTGTTTCTCTTTGGTGTTGTTGCTCTTAATGTGCAAATGTAGCTGTAAGTCATAGAAATGTCATATTTCTCTGACGCTGTTAAGAAGCACACACAAGCATTTAATGACCAATTCCGAAAATACTCATTAATTATTACATCTTTCTGAGGGCAATTTTTGAAAGGTTAATTTTGAAAATACTTTTTAATTATATATTCTAGAGGAAATATATATTTTCCAGCTTTCATGAATGATGTTAACAAATCCATTAATGAAATTATAGTAAAAGTTGTGATATTTTTCTTTTTTTTTTTTTTTTTTGAGACAGAGTCTCGCTGTCACCCAGGCTGGAGTGCAGTGGCACGATCTCGGCTCACTGCAAGCTCCGCCTCCCAGGTTCATGCCATTCTCCTACCTCAGCCTCCCACAGTAGCTGGGACTACAGGCGCCCACCACCATGCCCGGCTAATTTTTTGTATTTTTAGTAGAGACAGGGATTCACCGTGTTAGCCAGGATGGTCTCAATCTCCTGACCTTGCGATCCGTCCGTTGCGGCCTCCCAAAGTGCTGGGATTACAGGCGTGAGCCACTGCACCCGGCCCCAGCATTTTTCAATTAAGTTGGCCATGCTTGTTTTATTTTATTTTTTTCACATCGGATATTGCTTATGTAAAATTTTCTTTAAGATTATCAGTAGAGCTTAGACATGGAGGAAACTCTCCTGGATTCTTTCTCTAAATGCCCTCTTTCCGCTGGAGCAAAGCAATCACAATGCGTTCCTCTTTTCCTGGATGTTTTCTCATATCACCTAAAGGGCATAGATTCCTTTCCAGTTATTTCAGTAAAAAGTAGAATGAATGAATACAAATACACATAAACACACACACTATATTTTAAACCAATCATGTTTAGAGACTTCTTGAGTAAATGCCAGTAATAAAGGAGTAGGCAGGAGATGGAGAAGAGACACAGAACAGGTATGGTCTACACCAGGGGTGTCCAATCTTTTGGCTTCCCTGGGCCACATTGGAAGAAGAAGTCTTGGGCCACACATAAAATACACTAATACGAACGATAGCTGATGAGCTTAAAAAAAAATCCCCCCTCCCCCCCAAATCTTACAATGTTTTAAGAAAGTTTACGAATTTGTGTTGGGCCACATTCAAAGCCATCCTGGGCCTCATGTGGCCCACAGGCCACAGGTTGAACAAGCTTGTTCTACACAGATGTGGCTTGGGGAGAAATGCTATAGGAGTGGAGTGATAAGACAGAAGGCCCAGAATATCACAGCTCCAAGCAAGGACAGAGATACCTGAAGATGGAAGAACCAGTACATGGGAACACTCTTGGAAGCTGAGCCAGCATTATTCCTCAGCCACCTCGGCACCACTTTCTTGGAATTCCTTTTCTTTTGAGACAGGGTCTCACACTGTTGCCCAGGTTGGAGTGCAGTGGCACCATCATAGCTCACTACAGCCTCAACCTTGTGGGCTCCGGCAATCCTCCCGCCTCAGCCTCTGAAGTAGCTGGGCCCACGTGGGCACCACCACACCAGACTAATTATTTTATTTTTTGTAGAGACAGGGGTCCCCTATGTTGCTCATGCTGGTCTTGAACTCCTGGGCTCAAGCAATCCTCCTGCCCCTGGCCTCCCAAAGTGCTGGGATTACAGGCATGAACCATCATGCCTCTCACCTTTACCTTGTCTTAGGTATACTAGTGGCCTTTAAAACAGTGCTTAGCTAGCAGTTCAGCAGCCTTTCAAAAGATGGGACAAGCTTCTGGACCCCTACCCTTCTTGGGGTGTCATGTTTGGGGCTGGGGTGGGGAATGGAGGCTGAGCAGCTGCTCAAGGACCAGGTACACAAGAAGCCATGGCTCAGCCATCAGCCACCAGCCCAGGACCCAGCTTTCACCTGTTTGCAGTAGCTGATGCCCCTTTTGTAGAATACGGCCCCTCATATTCAATTGCTGGTGGAGGAAAATGAGAAATCTGGGCCCAGGATCAGAAGAATTGAGTTCCAGTCCTCATTGCCATCAATTAGCTGAGCAACCGTGCAACTGCCTGCCACCCTCTGGACCTCAGTTTGCTCATCTGGAAAGTGAAGGGCCTGGTCCCTGCCAGAGCTGGCTCTATAATTACCACTTGCAAAGCCAAATGTGTTCCGCACTTGGCAGCAGGCTCTACTTTACATAACCTGATATGCCGACTAAAAATTCTTCTACAAAAAAGCAATGTGCTTGCATAGAAGACGGAATGCCTGTTTGAACGTGTTCTTTATGTGGGAAGACTATGAGGGCCTGTCTTACGGGTGGACTCTAAAAATGATCACCTTTCCTCTTTAAAGGCTGTCCCAAGAGGCCTCCATCAGCTTCCTAGCGAATCCACCCCAATTATTTAATCATCAATCAGGAAATACTTCATTCCTTGTAACTCAGGGGCATTTGATAGTTTCCTCTTCTCCCAGCTTCAGTGGAGATTGATCACTGTCCCCTCCAATATTTCAGAGACCATAATATAAAACATGATGCCTGCAATGCTCACTAGGGGTTCTTCTTATGTTAGACTAGACATTCAGACTCTTAGCCTTTCAGAGACCACACTTGGCTTTAGTCAACTCAAAAAGATGTAGGGGGCTGAGTGTGGTGCCTCATGCCTGTAATCCCAGCACTTTGGGAGGCCAAAGCAGGAGGATTGCTTGAGCCCAGGAGCTTGAAACAGACCAGCATGGGCAATATGGTGAAAGCTCGTCTCATGAAAAATTAGCCAGGCACAGTAATGACATGCATGTTGTCCCAGCTACTTGAGAGGCTGAGGTGGAAGAATTGCTTAAGCCCAGGAGTTCGAGGTTATAGTGAGCTATGATTGCACCACTCTGTACTCCATCCTGGGACACAGAGTGAGACCTTGTCTTAAAAAAAAAAAAAAAAAGGGAGAAGAAGAAGCTGGGCATGCACGTGGCTCATGCCTGTTATCCCAGCATTTTGGGAAGCTGAGGTGAGAGGATCACCTGAGCCCAGGAGTTCAAGACTAGCCTGGGAAACATGGTGAGACCTTGTCTCTACAAAAGAAAAAAGAAAAGCCAAAAAAAAAAAAAATTTAAAAAGAAAAAGGAGGCAGAGCACATATACCAGGTATATTTGAAAGATCAAAGTATACTGAAGTAGACCAGGAATCAGATTGCACAACTCACAAAGCCCTTCAGAGCCTGGCCCCTACTCCCACCCTCACAGACAGATACATTCTTATCTTTGCAGATTGTGTTTCTTCCTCCAAAGGCCCTATCCCTGATCTTTTCTGACTGGTAAACTCCTATTTGTCTTTTGATACCCCGCTCAAATGTTGCTTCCTTTGTGAAGCCTTCCAGAACTACTGTTGACAGAATGTTTTCCTCCATGTCCTTCTTTTTTGTTTGTTTTTGTTGTTATTGTTGTTTTGGAGGGAGAGGTGGGATCTCACTATGTTGCCCAGTCTGATCAACCTAGTATGTTGCCTGAGCTTCTGGGCTCTATTAATCCTCCCTGCTTGCCCTCCCAAAGTACTGGGATGACAGGTGTGAGCCACCACAGCTGGCTTCCTTCATGTTCTTAGAGAACTTGGTCCTTGCCTCCATTGGAAGAGTTGAGGTTGAAGTTATTTGCTTATGTAATTAATCTCTGACTTATTACTCAACTCCCTGAGAGTGGGCACTGAAAAAAGTGTCTGTTGGCTAGGCGTAGTGGCTCATGCCTGTAATCCCAGCACTTGGGAGGCCGAGGCAGGAGGGCTTGAGCTCAGGGATTCAAGACCAGCCTAGGCAACATAGCAAGACCCCATCTCTACAAAATAAAGAAAAATTTTTTTTTAAATGTTTGTGGAATGATGCATTTATCCAACAAGTATTTATTGAGTGTATACCATGTGACAAATACTGTTCCAGGGTTAGGGATAAATAATGGTGTTTATGCTGGGTCTCAAAGGATAAGGAAATTTTGTAAGGTGAAGGAAGGGAGAGAAACAGACTAGAGAGCTGTTCACAAAGTGCTATCTTCCTAGACAAGTAGCTCTTCTATATTCCCCCTGCCTCCCTTGGGGTGTTGGGTGCTGTTATGTGACAAGTTCTAAGCCAATATGATGTGGGGGGAAATGAGGTGCAGTAATACCAGACTTGATTCATAAAAAAATCTCTCTTGCAAAATCCTCTATATTCTTTGGCTTTCTACTGGATTGATGCAGAGCAGTAATGACCTTGAAAACAAAACAGGAAGGACCTGAATCACCACTTTATGGGGGTAGGGGTAGGGGGCTTATCAGGAAGACACATGAGCAATAATAGATGTGGCTTGATTAGAATATTCAGGTGAGGTCCATTGTCCAAATATCTATTTGTATTGATGCTTTGAGGTCTTTTTTTTTTTTTAACTTGAGACTGTGGATAACAGCAGCAAAAAATGATTAGTTAAAAATGACAGATACTCTATTATGGAATGAGACTTATGTACCATTTAGAGGATATCGTGTAAGTTAATTCTCTTCATTAAGAAAATGACAGCCGGGCGCGGTGGCTCACGCCTGTAATCCCAGCACTTTGGGAGGCCGAGGCAGGCGGATCACGACGTCAGGAGATCGAGACCATCCTGGCTAACACAGTGAAACCCCATCTCTACCAAAAATACAAAAAAAATAGCCAGGCGTGGTGGCAGGCACCTGTAGTCCCAGCTACTCGGGAGGCTGAGGCAGGAGAATGGCGTGAACCCGGGAGGCAGAGTTTGCAGTGAGCCAAGATTGTGCAACTGCACTCCAGCCTAGGCGACACAGCGAGACTCCGTCTCAAAAAAAAAAAAAAAAAAAAAAAAAAAGAAAATGACAGCACTTTGGGAGGTTGAAGCAGGAGGATCACTTGAAGCCAGGAGTTTGAGACCAGCCTGGTCAACACAGCAAAACCGCAAAACCCCATGTCTTAAAAAAAAAAAAAAAAAAAAGGCCGGGCGCACTGGCTCACACCTGTAATCCCAGTACTTTGGGAGGCCGAGGCAGGCGGATCACCTGAGGTCAGGAGTTCAAGACCAGCCTGACTAACGTGGTGAAACCCTGTCTCTACTAAAAATACAAAAATTAGCCAGAGAAGTGGCAAATGCCTGTAATCCCAGCTACTTGGGAGGCTGAGGCAGGAGAATCACTTGAACCAGGGAGGCGGAGGTTGCAGTGAGCCTAGATTGCGCCATTGCATTCCAGCCTGGGTGATAAGAGTGAGACTCTGTCTCAAAAAAAAAAGAAAAGAAAAAAAAGAAAAGAAGAAAAAAGAAAGAAAGAAAATGGTAAAGACCCCTTACTCAGGGCTGGCTAAGAGATGCTTTCAAATCTTAGCCCTGATTCTATTTATTTGTTTTCATATTCCAGGACACGCTTTGCTCTAGGATGCCATGCCACTTCATTGAAATAGGGACTTAATTTTTACATTCAATAAATTTTGTTGAGGGCTTTTTACATAGCAAAGAAATAAAACAGAGGATTTTCCCTCAGGAAGTTCAGGTGCAGCAAAGGGGCTGGCTGTCCAGTGGGGATTCATTTTTGACTTGGACCCAGTCAGGAGGCTATTGTTTCCACCAAAAGGAAAGAAGCCTCCAAGATTCCTCCCATCACTGCATAAGGGCAGGACACCACAGCTGATTAGAGAATGGAGAGCCTTCACACAAGATAGAAAAGCTGGAGGGTTCCCAAACAAAGAGGAAGTCATATCTGGGGTAATAAATGAGAAGCAGGCCAGGCATGGTGGCTCACACCTGGAATCCAAGCACTTTGGGAGGCCAAGGTGGGAGGATCACTTGAGCCCAGGGATCATAGCCAGCCTGGGCAGCATAGTGAGACTTCATCGCTCCAAAATATTTTAAAAATTAGCTGGGTGTGGTGGCATTCACCTGTGGTCCCACCACTCAGGAGGCTGAAGTGGGAGGGTTGCTTGAGCCCAGGAGGTCAGGGCTGCAGTGAGCCATGATCATGCCACTGCACTCCAGCCTCGCCAGCATAGCAAGACCCTGTCTCAAAAAAAAAAAAAAAAAAAAAAAAAAAAAAGCAGCAGCAGGCATGTTGCAGGTAGTTTTAGATGAGTTACTTTACTGGAGAGAATATGAGAATACTTTATGAAATTTGAACAATGACATAAGTAAAGAAAGAGTTTTGCACTTTTGGTAATAAAGGCCATTAACCTGAGAGCTCCAGGACGATGAAGCCTGTGTTTCATCCACCACTCTATTTGCATCTGGCACCAGGTCCTGGTAAATACAGGACACTCTCAGCTTCAAATATATGTCACATTGTTCCTACTGACTATTGAAATATATTACCTCTGTTAATACTTTAACATTAAATGACAGAGAGGTAGGCAATGGAGTCGGACTGCCTGGCTCAAATCCTGGCTGTGTCACTTCCTAGATATGTGACTGCAGACTAGTTACTTGCCTCTATTTCCCCTACTATTGAACAGGCATGAAAACAGTACCTACTTCATAATTATCGTGAGAATTAAAGGGGTTAATATGTGTGAGGCACAAGAATTGTGCCTGGCATATAGGGAGTGCTTCATAATATATGAAATATTATTGTTGTTGTTGATTTTCAAACTGGCTCTCTCACCTGGAAGTAGCAGAGAATTTCCTTATTGGCCCACATGTCGTGATTGTGGGCTCAGGAAAAATGTTACCAGGCCTGCAGAAATTATGAGGCCTTTGATGGTTTGCCCCAGGCTTCTGTCTTTGAATAAAAGCACCACATTTCATAGCCCTGAGACTGAGAAGAACACCCCCATATGTTTTCCAGGGCTCTCCCCAACCTAATCTCCAACCTTGCTTTTTGCACTGTGGATTGTCAATTAATGGCAAACTGGAGTTCTCGGAGAACCCTCAGGGAAAACCCAGACAGATCTTGCTCACCTCACCTCCCACGGGTGGCATTTTGTTTTTTATTTAACTGAAGAATTTTTCAATGAAAATGGATTTATCTCCTTTTTAATTTTGTACAATCACCGCTAAATAAAACATTGATTTCTCTGAACAATTGTACCAAACTTTATGCACCATTAATATGACATTAACATTGCTTATGGTTATGTATTATAAGAGCAATAAAGAGGACAATATATGATCTCTAATGATTCAGTAAAAATGATGCAAATATCTCAACAAGAGCAAACAGCGTAACATTCATTTCTCCCTAGCACAAGAACAAGGAATAAAGAGACCAACCAAGGAAAAGTCCAAGGAGAAATTTAGAAATGGTGCATTAAAAGTTAATGGTTTTAAGGTCAGGTGCGGTGGCTCACACCTGTAATCCCAGCACTTTGCGAGGCCAAAGCGGTAGGATGACTTGAGGTCAGGGGTTCAAGACCAGCTTGGCCAACATGGTGAAACCCTGTCTCTACTAAAAATACAAAATTAGTCGGGCATGGTGGTGCTCACCTGTAATCCCAGCTATTCGGGAGGCTGAGGCAGGAGAATCGCTTGATCCCAGGAGGCAGAGGTTGTAGTGAGTCGAGATCTCGCCACTGCACTCCAGCCTGGGCGACAGGGTGAGACTCTGTCTCGATAAAAAGAAATAATAAAATGAAAGTTAATGATTTCAAAAAAGCCTTTTAAAAGCTCCGCCCCGCCGGAAGTTGAGTTTTCTGCAAGCCATAGGAGACAGCGCCACCTACCGGCCCCGAGATTTGCCCAGCCGCAGAAAGGGGCGGAAGGCCAGGGTAGGTTTGGGGGCAAAATGGCACAAAAGAGTTCAGCCTCAAACGGTTTTGGTGTTGATGCAATCTGGATGCCTGGTCACCTTCTCCATAGAGAGACTTGGAGCTTACTGGGGCTTCTTGTCCACAATGTGACTCTTGGCTTCTAGACTCTTGGAGGAAGGAATGGGAAATGATGTGATGTGACCTCGAGTTGGACCATTAGCCAACGCAGTGACCTGAAACAGTGGTTCTCAAACTCCACCGCACATTAGAAGCACCTGGGAGCGCAGGGCGTGGCGGGTGGCTCCTGGAATCCCAGCTACTCAGGAGGCTGAGCGGGGAAAATGGCTTGAGGCCGGAGTTAGAGCCTGCCATGAGCCATGATCGTGCCACTGCACTCCAGCCTGGGTGACAGAGGGAGACTCTGTCAAAAACAAAAACAAAACAAAACAAAACAAAAAAACGTGCAGGTGAGAGTTTAAATACTCCTGAGACTCAGGTCTGCCCTAGACTGATGTGCTCTGGAATGGGACCCAGGCATCAGTAACTTTTATACCTCCTCAGGGGATCCCAATGTGAAGCTAAGACCTGCCGCTGTCAGGGCAGCGGGCCATTCCTGTTGTTTCACCCAAAGCCAACCTCAGAGGACCTTCGGTCTAATGCGACAAGCCAGCAGTGTGACATGTGCGTTTTCTCGTCCTGTCTTAGGGCTGTGCCTAGAAGGTGCCGCCCTCAAGGTTGGAGACAGCTCTGCATAATAGTTCACTCCCCACTTAAAAAATAAAAATAAAAAAACCCAGCTTTGTGAAGGTATAATTGACATACACCAAAGTGTACATTTATAAAGTGTACAATTGGACAATGTTTGACATGTGTATACTTGTGAAACCAGTGCCACAATCAAGATAATGATCATATTCTTCAAGGTTGAGCTGCAAGAGTCCTGTTTTACACTCCCATTTCACAATTATTTAATACTTGTTCTATGCCAGGCATTGTGCTGGGTTAGAAGGAACCATGGATACAACCACTTCTCTGGGGGAACTGGTTACAGGACCAGTTGGGACATGAAGGAGGCAACTCTACTTGAGAGTACTGGGGTAGCCAGAGGAGAAAATGGTTTAGTTGATCTAGACAGATGGAGGTATTTATCAGGTGCTGTGGTCTAAATGTTTAGGTACCCTCAAGATTCATGTATTAAATCCTAAAGCCTGATATGATGCTATTAGGAGGTGGGACCTTTGGGAAGTTATTAGTTAATGAGGGTGGAGCCCTCATGGATGGGATTAATGTCCTTATAAAAGAGACCCCAGGCCAGGCGCAGTGGCTCACACCTGTAATCCCAGCACTTTGGGAGGCTGAGGCGGGTGGATCACAAGGTCAGGAGATAGAGACCATCCTGGCTAACATGGTGAAACCTCGTCTCTACTAAATATACAAAAAATTAGCCGGGCGTGATGGCTGCAGTAGTAGTCCCAGCTACTTGGGAGGCTGAGGCAGGAGAATTGCTTGAACCCAAGAGGCAGAGGTTGCAGTAAGCCAAGATCGCACCACTGTATTCCAGCCTGGGTGACAGAGCAAGACTCCATCAAAAAAACAAAACAAACAAAAAAAAAAACCCAGAGAGATCTCTTGCTCCTTCCAACATGCGAGGTTACAGTGAAAAGATGGCCATCTATGAGGAACTGGGTCCTCACCAGACACCAAATTGGCTGACACCTTGATCTTGGACTTCCCAGCCTCCAGAACTGTGAGAAATAACTTATGTTGTTTGTAAGCCACTCAGTCTGTGGTAGTTTGTAATACAGCTCAAACAGATTAAGACATTAGGTAGTTGAAGGAAACGGGCATTCCAAAATGGGAAAGCATGAGCATGAGGAAAAGCAAGAGGGAAAGCATGAGCAAAGGAATGGAGGCATGAAGAGATGATATGTTGGCTGGGCACGATGGCTCATGTCTGTAATCTCAGCACTTTGGGAGGCCAAGGCAGGTGGATTGCTTGAGCTCATGAATTCGAGACCAGCCTGGTGACATGGCAAAACCTCGTCTCTACAAAAACACAGAAATTAGCCAGGTGTGGTGGCAAGTGCCTGTAGTCCCAGCTACTCAGGAGGCTGAGGTGGGAGGATGGTTTAAGCCTGGGAGGCAGTTTGCAATGAGCCAAGATCACACCACTGCACTCCAGGCTGGGCAACAGAGCCAGACCTTGTCTCAAAAAAATAAAATAAAATAATAATAATAATAATAAATTAAAGAGGTGGTATGTTTAGGAAACAGCAGGTATGGCCAAAGTGGTAGTGCATCGTGGGGAGGGTCATGAGGCAAAGCCAGCACAATCAGCGGCAGTAACTGGATGTCTAGGAGTGCCATGCCACCAGGAGTCTGACTTTATTCTATGAGCTCTATTTCTCAGTGGATGACCCCTGAAAGCTTAAGCAAGGGAGTGTCACAATCAGATATGCATCGTAGAAAGTTCACTCTGACAGCCCTCCAAAGTGGCAGAACAATTAGTAAGAGAACCTTTGCAAAGTTACCAGCAAGCAGAAACAAATGAATTATAGGTCATATTGCACAATAATCAAAAAGAACTTTTTGAATCCAAATGCAAAAGCCATTTTCATAAACATTATACATATATATCTTTAGGAGATTATTTTTAGTCAAACAATAGCAATGCAAGTCTTTGAAGAATGGCCCAGGAAGCCCAGAATTAGTATGGCTCAGGACCTTTGAGAAGTGACAGGAGTTGGCATGCTCTGGTCCAAAGGGGGATCAGGAAGGGGGAAAGGCCTCTTTAGAAATAGCCTTCTACTAGTACTGAATCCAGAATCATATTTAAATACAAAGGGGGTAATATGCAGGTCAGAAATAGAGTCTGTGATGACAAAATACAGTGGCCAGCCAATTTTAAGTTCTGCCTGCAATAACTCTGCTGCTGTTAACTGATTGGTTTATGGCTAATGTCTTCAGTGTGGGCATTAATAGCTCATAAGAGTATGTTTCTTATATGTGATTCACCATTTAGCCATGAGAATACAAGAATAAACATAAGTGGTATCAGTGAGGATTTTTTGACTGCAAATAACAGGAAAAAACTACTCAAACTGGCCTTGTAGCAGAGGAAATTCCAGAGGCTTCAGGTATGGTTTGATCAAGGTGCCAGGTCCATTTCTCTCTGGTTCTCTCAGTTCTTCTCCTCTGTGTGTGTCAGCTTTGTCCCCAGCAAAACAGAAGCAGTTCAAGACTTCACACCCTCAAGCCCACTTTCCAGAAGAAGAAAGTTTCTCTTTCTCCAAACTTCCTACCAAAGTTTAGGCTTTATTCTAATTGTATCCACTTATGCCACACGTTCACTTTTAGGACGATTACTGTGGCAAGGAGGCATGGGATTTCGCTGATTGGCTTGAGCCAACCAGAGCCAACCTCTGTAGCTGGGAGCAGGATCAGCCCCACCCAAAATGCTCATCATCATGGGGTAGGAGTGGGATGTGCGTGGAGGAAGCAAATGTCTACTATGCAGTAGAACGTTATCTTGGGTAATCCAATAACCCCTAATAAGGATAGCAGATATCAGTCACTCCCATTTACCATGTGTCACGTTTGCTATTTAAAATGAGACTAACTGCTGTGTGCATCATCAAAACCCCCAAACTCAGCCTGGGCAACATAGTGAGACCCTGTCTCTAACAACAACAAAAAAAAATTAGCTGGGCATGACAGCACACTTCTGTAGCCCCACCTACTCAGGAGGCTTATATGGGAGGATTGTTTGAACCCAGGAGTTTGAGGCTACAGTGAGTCATGTTCACACTACTGCACTCCAGCCTGGGTGACAGAGCAAGACAGTGTCTCAAAAAAAAAAAAAAAAAAAAGAAAGAAAGAAAAAGAAATGAAAAAAAAGCCCCAGACACAAGGACACCATCTAACAAAGGCACTTTATTGCATTACCATTCACAATTAACAGTCAAGAACAAATAATAATAACAAATAAAATAACTTTTAAGAGGACAAGGCATTAGAAATAAAAAAGGACACTAATAACATTTGTAAAAGCTTGTACTGGATGTGGTTGCCCCCATTTGTGTGTGTGGTTGTGTGTGTGTGGTTGTGTGTTGGTGGCCACAGCTGAGCCTCTGTCACCAGAGAAGGCTGAGGCCCCAATGGCACACCTCAGAAACCTACACCCCGAGGCTGGACGGCTGGACTCCTGAGCACAAGCTCCCTCTCGCACCCTTTGCCAGACAGTTTGTCTCCAATTTCAAACTGACCTAAGGCTCTTACTCCTGGATTTTTTGTTTTTAAACCTTCTCCCAGCCAGTCTTCGGGAGGGCATGATTAGAGAAGTGCTCCTTTGCTGATGGAGGAGGGGACCTAAGGAAGAAGGTGGATCCCAGGTGCCTCCTCTCTAATTGATCCTCCCCACCCAGTTTCCTTTGCCTCTCTTCCTTCTACCAGGTCATGTTTTTTACTCTCTGCCCCTTCTGCCTCCTAGCATTTCAAAAACTGTAGAGTGCACCCCATAGTGGACATTTTTAGTCCAGGCCTTCTAATTAGCATCAAAAAGTTCCTGGATTCCCAGGCACGCCTCCTGAAAAAGCTGAGAGATATGTCTCTTTCCAGTCTTCTTGGGTGAGGCTAGGTTGCAAGCTCTGGGCTGTTCAAAGGTTGCCAGAATCTCTCCATTGGAGGGATAGAAGCAGTGTCCCTATTCTGACTTGTCAGAGAGTGAGCTTGTGACCCTTGAAAGATGGTGGGTATCCCTTCTCATCCCCTCGGACCTCCACAGTTGATGCGTATGTCTCCCAGGGGAATTAGGTCACTTAACTCAAGAGCAATGTTTGCCCAGGAGCAAGCAATGCTGGGGAGCTTTCCTCTAGATTGGAAATGGTTCTTGTTGCCCTACCAGGAAAAGAATTAAGAAAACAACCCTAACCATTGTCTCAGTACTTTGTACTGATTGAAGAAAACCACCTCTCTGACAAGCGCTAATAGCATCTACTACATTTAATGTCATAGATTCTTATTTAGCAAGTGAGCTGGATTCGTTGCAAACATTCACAACTTCCATTCAGAGAGGCTGGCAGATGTCAGATGGAAGAAAAACCCCGGAGGCCAGATCTTTACTGGTGCTCACTTCTCCATCAGTCTTTCTAAACACTCTAAATAATAGCTTGTACATTGGTTGGGGGCCATGGCGGGTTCCACATTCTTATGATTCTAGACAGAAAGAGAGAGGGAGAGACAATACTCTTAGAAAATACTCCAACAGAAACATATGAGATCGTTTAGATCTGTAAATTATTAACATTACTTTCATTAACATTATTTGTCTTCTTCAGCTTTATCCCATATTCTCCCTATCATTTCTCTCACGTCTCTTCCATTCCCCATCTCTTTCCCAGCTCCCTTTCTCCTCTTCCTTTACCATCTTCCTTCTTTCCATCTGTCTCCTGTCACTCTTCCTCCTAAAGTCTCTTACAGGCTTCCTTCTTTCAACATTTCATTCAATCACACTAAGCAGTGACAGCTATGATTATCCAATACAAACCCAGTGGGTACAAGCTGTTGTCCTTGAAAGTTCTCCCTAGAGAAATACAGTATCACCAGCCTAACTAGCTTTATCTCCTTTTTTAAAAAGCTATCTTTTATTATTATTATTTTTTGTAAAAATGGGGTCTCATTATTTGCCCAGGCTGGTCTCGAACTCTTGGGCTCAAGCAATTCTCCTGCTTCAGGCTCCCAAAGTGCTAGGAGTATGGGATGAGCCAACAAGCTAAGTTCCATTTCATCTCTTTAGAAGTGGACTGATGCCCAGTTCAGTGGCTCATGCCTGTAATCCCAGCACTTTGGAAGGACGAGGCGAGAGGATCACTTGAGCTTAGGAATTTGAGACCAGCCTGGGCAACATGGCAGAAACCCCTGTCTCTACAAAAAATACCAAAATTAGCCAGGCATAGCGGCATGTGCCTGTAGTCCCAGCTACTTGGGAGGCTGAGGTAGGAGGATCACTTAAGCCCAGGAGGTTGAGGCTACAGTGAGCCAAGATCGTACCACTGGACTCAAGTCTGGGTGACAGAGTGAGACCCTGTCTCAAAACAACAACAACAACAAATAGAACTTATATATATATATAGAGAGAGAGAGAGAGAGAGAGAGTTGCCTTGAGATCAAGCGGCAGGGAAAGAGAGCGTTGCCTTTACACAGCCTGGTGAAAAGGATCCCACAGAACTATGTTTACATCCAGTGTCCTTCCCTGGTCCTGGCTGAGGACCTAGGTCTTCAAACAGCCTGAGAAGTGTCATCATCATAATCTCTGGAGTCGTATTCATGGAGTTGGTAATCTAAAGGGACCTTAGGGGTATCTAAATTAAGCTGACCTTTTTACAGATGAGAAAATCAAAGGCCAGGGAAATTAAGTGATGTGTCTGTAGTCACATAGATGCTCAGAGTTACGACAGCAGGGAACTTCCTTTTTGATCTCTCTCTCTCTCTCTCTTTCAATTAAGAAAAAGAAAAAGAAAGCCTGCGGGGCAGCCAAGGATTGAAGATTCAGCAACCAGGTCTCTGCTCTGCCCTGGTGCATTCACTCCCAAAAGCAGGAGAAAAAGCCCACTGACTCACCTAATAGTCAGGGCGGGGCATGCTGCTGTGTCTTGAATAGGGATTTTGCATCTGGCTGTCTCTGGAGGCCGTTATCCTGACCTTAGGAAAGACGCTCCCTTCTGCTCCAAGATTGGTGAAGCCTGTCGACCGCAGTTTTAGATTTTGAAAGTCTTCGTCAATCAAGTTCTCTTCTTCAATATGCTTCGTTTTGTTATTTGATCTGTAATCAGTAAGAGGAATTAGGATTTGACAATGGCAGAAAGTTTCTTGAAGTAAATGTTAATGTTCTTTTTAAAAATATTTTTAAATTCTGAAATAATCTCACATTTATTTGTAAGTTACAAAATACATATATTACGGCGTTCTCACACACTTATCACCCAGATTCCCTAATTATTAACATTTCTGAACCAATTAAGAATAAGTTGCATAACCAAAGAACACTAACAGTTTTATGAAAGAATAAGTTGCAGACTTGATGCCCCACAAATAATGAAATAAAGCACTTCATTATTTTATTCAGTGTAGGTTTCCTAAGTTTAAGGTCATGAGCTCTGTGTAGCGACAAAACCTGGACTTCAATGCTGATCCAACATAACAATCTAATTCCACTGGCCTCATTCATATTTTGCTCATAATATTAGAAAATAATTTGAGATACAGCATTTCATTCAGCAAAGTCAACATCTAAGAATCACGTTGGTGGGTAAAATGAGTAAAACAAGTTCAAAGACTTGAAACGAGGCTGGGCTTGGTGGCTCACCTCTGTAATCCCAGCACTCTGGGAGGCCGTGGTGGGCAGATCACTTGAGGCCAGGAGTTCGAGACCAGCCTGGCTAACATGGTGAAACCTCGTCTCCACTAAAAATACAAAAATTAACCAGGCACAGTGGCATGTGCCTCTAGTCCCAGCTACTCGGGAGGCCGAGGCGGGAGAATCGCTTGAACCTGGGAGGTGGAGGTTGCAGCGAGCCAAGATCATGCCACTGCACTCCAGCCTGGGCGACAGACCAAGACTCTGTCTCAAAAAAAAAAAGAGAAAAAACAAGAACAAAATATTGTAGGAACCTAAAATCTGTTTATCCTGTCACATTATAGTGGAAAACTACCTATTTTGCCAAAATATAAGATATGAACTAAATGTTAGAAAACAGTAGCTTTAAAAAATCAAAGTGGATCCCCACTTGGCACATTGAGAATGGGAAAAAGATCACAGCATTTGCCTCCCTGTTAATGGGGGGACTTTAGTCTATCTAAATATTTGTTGAATGAATGAACTCTAGTGCCCCTTCCTTAAGAGAAGAGACCTTAAGGCACCAAGCTAATAGCCATGCAGAGATGACACGTGTGTGCTTGCGTGTGTGTGTGTGTGTGTGTGTGTGTGTGTGTATGTGAGACAGGGTCTTGCTCTGTCACCCAGGCTGGAGTGCAGTGGGGTAATCTTGGCTCACTGCAACCTCTGCCTCCCAGTTCAAGGAATTCTCCTGCCTCAGCCTCCTGAGTAGCAGGATTACAGGGGTGCCACCACCATGCCCGGCTAACGTGATAAACTTTCTTAAAAAAAGTTAAAAAAAAACAACAACCCAGGGGGTTCAGTTGAGGTTGATTTTAGACCATTTGCAGCAGAGTCCTGGACAGGGAAGTGACCTGATGAAAATTGTATTTGACAACTTCAGTGGAGTTAAATATTATTACATTAACAAAGAGTTTTTAATGACATAAGGAAATGGTTGCTATGTCATCTTACGGTGTTAAACCAAAAAAAACCTCAATCCAAAATTTTAAAAACACAAAAGACACAAAATTATGTATATAATATTATTTTAAAAGATAGAAATAAATCTGGAAGGTTATATCTCAAAATGTTAGTTGCCTCAGCATGGTGGGTTTTGTGAGTGATTTTTAAATTCCGCCCCTTTACCCACTTCTCTATTTTCTTGATTTTCTTCCATGGTCCTGCTATTGCCTATATAATAAGAAGACAATTAAGGTAAGGAAAAAAAGTCAGTGGTACTAGAAAGGCCTCTCCTTATCTCCCTTCTCTTGCCCAGGAGAGGATGAGTATGTTTGGAAACTAGAGAGTGTCATGCTGGTGGTCCTGTGCCGCAGGAAAAGGCCACTTCTGGCAGGTGTGATGGCTCATGCCTGTAATCCCAGCACTTTGGGAGGCCAAGGTGGGAGGATGGCTTGAGTTCAGGAGTTCGAGACCAACATGGGCAACATAGTGAGACCCCCCCATCTCTCTATAAAAAAAAAAAATTTAAAAAGGACACTTTCATCCCATACCTTGCTGTGACAATCAATGCAATTATCATGCTGAGAATGACAATGCCAGCGATGGTGCCCACAATAGTGAGGATCAGCTGAAATTCTGAAAGGAAGAAGAAAATAAGAACAGTCTCCAACAAGCTGGCCCCCAACTGTCTACTGCACAGGTTCGTGTATTCCCAGGGACTCCTAGCTGTGAAGACGATCAGGTTCTGGTCTCCAACCCTCCAGGCCAGGTTGGGTAGTTGGCCTATTTCCTTTAGCATTCCCTCCTCACACCTCCTAAACTGTGTCTTCAGAACTCAATTGGAAAGGGCAGCCCTGCCAGACAAAACACTGTAAATACAAAGGATGGTGGCAGGGTCTTCCTGGACTTTGTGGGGAGTGGAGTATCAGCTGAGGGCCACACCTCCCTCCTTACCTCTGCTGCCTTTGCCTGCCCTCCATACCTCACCTTACTGATAAGCTAAGGAAACTAGGTTGGAGTTAAATGTCACTGCTAGAGGAGCCAGCTAATGGCTTGATAATAACATCAATGAGGGAAGAGTCTAGACGTTCATTATCACCCATTCTCCTCTCCTAACTCTGCCCTGGTTGGCACTATTGACACTTGACTGCGGCTATGAGACACAATGTAACAGACACACCAGATTGCAAACACTTCATGTGAAAAAAATGTGAGAGAATTGGTTTATCTTTTTTTATTGATTCCATGTTGAAATGATATTTTGGATATATAGATTAAATAAAATATGTTCTTAAAATCAACCTCATCTGTTTCTTTTTACTTCTAACAATTTACTTGAAATTTCTAAAATTTCAAATGAAATGTGTAGCTCACATAATATTTCTATTGCACAACACTGCTCTAGACCTCTTCGTCTCTTTCTGCTATATGGCTTCCCCAAATGCTGCCTTTAATGTGAATTCATGGGGCCACAGACTGGCAAATCTGGGAAAGACCTCAAAGTTTGTCTGGTCCAAACTTCTCATTTTATAGATGTGGAAATTGAAAGCCCTGAAGAAAGACTTAGCAAATTATTCCTTGCAATAAAATACAGTAGAAATGGAGAATGTCACTCATCACTATCTTCATGGCTGGCAGGAAGGCTGACAGTAATATTTCCTTCATCTTGGAAGACTGATCTTTAGTTCATTATGTAAATTTTAGAATATAAAATAATTGAAAATTTAAAGTTAGTATTGTCTTAATCTGGTGGGGGTGGGGCATGGGAGGGTACAGAATTTGAATTTGCAGCAAAATATCCCAAACCAGTAAATAGCTCTGAGACAAAAGGATTTGAGTATTTAAATGTCTGGTTTCTAGGTCTGCTCTTCTATAACCACCAGAATTTTTGGAATTACTGGTCTTTTATCTCTAGTAGCAGCAGATAATGCATATGTAAGCTAATGCAGGAAATCAACATAATGCTAAGATGCCCTTCTCTGGTCTCAAGCAAGTCCAGAGGTGCCAGCCCACTCCTGGTGCTGAGTTCTGTTATTTTCTATGGCAGAGGGGCTGCTGTTCATAACCTAAGGGTGGGCATGGCATGGCAGGACCCAGAAGGCAAACTGGAGGCAGATGGTCTCTCTCTTTATGAAAGAGGACAGAGACTTTGAAGGACTGGGCAGGATGTTGAATGGGGTCACTATTGATTTCTCAGATGTTTAATAACTTGTTTATAATAGCAAGACTTTCATACTCACTGTCCTTACAGTCGAGTCCACTGTAGCCAAATGCACACCTGAAATACAGTGAGCAATAGGAAACAGTGTTAAAGAGCCCCTGTGGGGAGCATGTCAGAGTTCCCACCCCAATCTCCACCTCTTCCTTTCCATCTTCCTTTTATTCTGTCCTCCCTTGCTTTTTTTCCTCTTTCTTTTGCCTTCCTTACACTCTCATTCTTCCAGGAGACCACCTTCCATGGGGTTCTGGAAGGGTGAGGGGGGTACGCAATCTCATGCAGGCTCATTTGCTACTGACTGAACACTCCATCCTCCGGGCTTCAGGAAGATTCTGCAGTTCAGGCAAAGCTGAACCCAAGAGGCATGGAGGGTAGTGGGACCATCTCAGGCTGTGACGCCACATGGCTCTGCCACTTATTTGTTGCCCTGTGAGCTGGAGGATGTTATTTACAATCAGTTTCAGTTTCCTCACCTGAAAATGGAAATTAAGACATTCCTGACAATGTTGCTGTGTGATAGGTATTACCTAGTGTGTTTCCTGGAGCATAGAGAATGCTCAAAAACTATTGATGATGCTGGGCATGGTGGCTCACGCCTGTAATCCCAGCACTTTGGGAGGCCGAAGCAGGTGGATCATGAGGTCAGGAGTTCAAGACCAGCCTGGCCAAGATGATGAAACCCCGTCTCCACTAAAAATACAAAAATTAGCTGGACAGGGTGGCAGGCACCTGTAATCCCAGCTACTCGGGAGGCTGAGGCAGGAGAATCACTTGAACCTGGGGGGTGGAGGTTGCAGTGAGCCGAGATTGCACCATTGCACTGTAGCCTGGGGGACAGAGTGAGACTCCATCTCAAAAAAAAAAAAAAAAAAAAAAACTATTGATGATGACAATGATGAGGATGCTGTCTCTACCAACCTATGACAGCTTACCAGCTTCCTGACTCAACACCTATATACGTGTTGTAAGGTCTCTCTACTTTGCCTAGCTCCAGCTGTGGCAAGACAAAAACAAAGTTATTTTTCTTACTTTTGGCAGTTCCCATTAGCATCTTCCTGGTAGCCGGGCACGCACGCACACTCAGGGGCCCCACCACTCTTCTTTATTAAGCATTGCTTGTGCTGTGCGTTGCAGGCATCAGGACACTTGAGACTGGAAGCTTCAAAACAGAATGATTTCTGGGTAATTTTCAGAAACAATCTCTTTAACCCCAAAGTCACATGTGACAACATGACAGTGTCTTTCACATTGCTTTTTCTAGGTAAAATGAGATGCTTATTGACTCCACACATGATGTGCCCCCTGTGAAGCTGGACATGGGCTAGCAAAGGTCCCAGCCATGGTCCATATGTCTAAAGTCAGAAGTCAGATCACTCGGACTCTGAAATGCATGTGGAAACTAAAGGAGTGAATTTTTTATGTTGCAAAAGAAGAGAAAGTGATGTTATGAAGAACATTTAGAAGCAGGTGAAACACTTACCAACGCAGAAAGGGCTCTGTGGGTTAGGCCTTTGCAGGTCAGATTTGCAATCGCATGCTAAACCATTGAGGCAGTCATCCGCAGTCTGGTTACAGCCATAATAATCACACCGAAGGGTCACTGAGAAGCACAAATAGTTTAAAAATATATTCAGCATGACAATATGGATAAGGTAATTTGTGAAAATTACCCCACCCCATTGCTGTTATACTTTGCCTTTTAATAAGTTTTGGGGCCAAGTGCAGTGGCTCACAACTGTAATCCCAGCACTTTAGAAGGCCAAGGCAGGAGTATCGTTTGAGCCTAGGAGTTCAAGACCAGCCTGGGCAACACAGTGAAAATATTTAAAAGTTAGCTGGGCATGGTGGCAAGCTCCTGTAGTCCCAGCTACTCAGGAGACTGGAGTGGGAGGATCACTTGAGCCCAGAAGTTCAAGGTTACAGTGAGCCATGATCATGCCACTGCACTCCAACTTGAGCGAGAGTGAGACCTTGTCTCAAAATATAAATAAAAATAAATAAAGAAATAAAAATGGGTTGGAAGGCATTAGGGTTAAAAGATGAGTCTGGGCTGGGTGTGGTGGCTCACGTCTGTAATCTCAGCACTTTGGGAGGCCGAGGCTGGTGGATCACGAGGTCAGAAGTTTGAGACCAGCCTGACCAACATGGTGAAACCCCATCTCTGCTAAAAATACAAAAATTCGCTGGGTGTGGTGGCATGTGCCTGTAATATCAGCTACTCAGGAGGCTGAGGCAGGGGAATTGCTTGAACCTAGGAGGCGGAGGTTGCAGTGAGCCGAGATCGTGCCATTGCACTCCAGCTCTGGGTGACAGAGCAAGAATCCGTCTCGGGGAGAAAAAAAAAAATGATGAGTCTGAGAATGGAGTGGGGGAGAGAATAGGAGTAGGTAGAGTCATATGGCTCCTCTCTACTAAACATCCCAAACTGTAACTGAGCCTCCTTCATCACCTGCCACATGAAAATGCCTCTGATTAAAAGCCTAGAGCAAGAGATTCTACAATTTTGGGCAAAGAAAACAATTTATCTTTGCCACTGAAGCCGGAGAACAGGAAAGTGTTTTCCGGCCAGGTATGGTGGCTCACACCTGTAATCCCAGCACCTTGGGAGGCCAAGGCGGGCAGATCACCTGAGGTCAGGAGTTCGAGACCAGCCCAGCCAAAATGGCGAAAACCGTCTCTACTAAAAATACAAAAATTAGCTGGGCGTGGTGGCACATGCCTATAATCCCAGCTACTCGAGAGGCTGAGGCAGGAGAATCGCTTGAACCCGGGAGTTGGAGGTTGTGGTGAGCCAAGATCATCCCACTGCACTCCAGCCTGGGCAACAGTGTGAGACCCTGACAAACAAATGAACAAACAAAAAAGCAAACACTTAAGAGATGAAGAAAGGAGTCTTAGAAGGAGCAAAAAGAAGGATGAGGGAGGCACGAAGGCGATTAGGAGAATGGTGGATGCGGGCCCAGGAAGAAGGGAACATCTAGAAGGGAAGGATACTAGTGTCAAATGCTATAGAAAAGTCAAATAAGTTGTGGCTCAACAGAGGATTCTGGATTTGGCAACCAGGACTGAGAACCAGCTGCAAACACCTCTTCCCGGGACTGGCCCCAGTGGGTCACCTCTGGGGTGAGGAACTTCTGATGACTGTTATGGTGGGTTGACTGCAGTCATGACATCAATTTACTCACACCTTTCTGTACCCCTTGGGCAGGGCCCTTCCACACTGTGCTTGGTAATGCGAATTGCTTTAGCCAATTGGACAGTTGTAACTGTGATGTAAGCAGAGACTTGAGAAATATTTGTGCATTGAATCTTACCCTCTTGCTGCTCTTGAAATCCTTTGGATGGGTCTGCTGATAAGAGACCATGTGGAGCAGAGACAAACCATTTATACCCAGCAGCTAATGGCAGATGCTTAAGTGAGCCCAGCAGAGATCAATTAAGCCTGGCCCAGATCAGCACACTATCCACTTGAGCCCAGCTCAAATTCAGACCCATAGAATTCTAGGGTTGCAGTAAATAAATGATGGTTGTTTTTGGCCACTACCTTCGTAACACAGCAAACGCAAATTGCTACAGCTACATGGTGGGTTCGTGTGTGTCTAAAGGGGAAAATAGTACGGGTAATGCTTGGTCTTGCTCTATTGCTCAGGCTGGAGTGTGGTGTCGTGATCTCAGCTCACTGCAGCCTCAACCTCCTGGGCTTATGCAATCCTCCCACCTCAGCCTCCCAAGTAGCTGAGACCACAGACCTGCACCACCACACCTGGCTAATTTTTTGTAGAGATGGGATTTTGCCATGTTGCCCAGGCTGGTCTCAAACTCCTGGGCTCAAGGAATCCGCCCATCTCAGCCTTCCAAAGTGTTGGGATTACAGGCATGAGCCACCACACCCAGCCACAGGTAAAATTTTCTGTAATCATTTGGAAATCTTTAACCTGACATAAAGCCCTGTTGTTTCTCCTTTTTCTTTCCCTGCCCAGCAGTGGTTTGTCTGGTCATTTATACCTTCGTAGAGAGGAACACACTGGTCAGTTTGATGACTTGGGACATGGTTGGAAAGAAGCAGAGGGCAAGCGAACAAGAAAAGGGAAGAAGAATTGGATAAAAAGAAATTTAGAGACAGTTGTCAGTTCAATGATGCAGTTCTTGTCTCCTTTTCACATATAATGAAAAGGTTTACAAAAAAGGTAGGTAGGTCTTCAGGTGAACTTTGAATAAAATTATACAATACTTACAATCATAGTTTAGAAAGTTGCTTGAGCTACTTCTAATTGCTTTATTAATTTTCTCAGTCACAGTCTTCTCATTGTCACTTGTGGTTTCTGCCAAAATTGTTACTATTGTTACATTAACAAACTTGTCATCAGCACGCATTTCAGATCTTGGTGACAGAGATGTGCTAAAAATGAGATGAATCTGTCACTTAATGAATTGAACTGAAGAATCAACAAATAATTCTAATCTCCCAGACTCCCGAATCTCCCGGCCCTAGTCCTGACCCGCTGTCCTGTCCCTATGATTCGGACCCACATATGGAGGCCGGGGGCTGCAAAAAGATGGCAATGTACAGGCTTGGAGGTCTCTATTTGATGTGTATTCAGAGGAAACCTATGGTGAAAACAATGTTCTGTTGGAGAAAACTTAGGAAAATTGTGGATAACCATTTTTGGAAAAATTATGAATCACATTTTAAGGATCTAGGAGCCTAGAGCTAACCAGAATTAGAACAAGTAATACCTGAAATGGGAAATTGTCACTTTCTGTAGGACAGCAGCTGTTAAATCTCAGTCTGGTTCTTTGGGAGAGACAGAGGGGCGCGTGTCCCTCCCTCTGCATGGAGAAAGCAGTAACCAGCCATAGAGAGCCTGGATCACTCCCAGAAAGGACCAGGAAGTCAGCAGGCAGTTTCAGAGTGGGAACATGATTGGGCCTGGACACACACGACCCAGAGGAGAACTGAAACAAAGAGGGCCGGGGCTGCGGGAAACATGAGCAAATCCTACCAGCAATATGAAGTGCCTGCCATGAGCAAGACATTGTCACTGTCTCTCTCTCTCTCTCTCTAATCAGCACTGCAGTTCGGAGCCCTAAGCACAGCTGTGCCAAGTTTAATTATTTCATTGTCCAAAATGAATCAAGTGATACAATCACTGAAACAGGGGGAAAAATGACTTTTAAAAACATTCACTATCTGATTTGTCGCTCTGTGCTTTTAAGCCTCAGGATATATTTTTGTTGTCTAAATGTTTTTTTCTATACACCTTTTTGACATTTTTTTTTTTTTGAGACAGGGTCTTGCTCTGTCACCAGGCTGGAGTGCGGTGGTGAGATCACGTCTTACTGCAGCCTAGACCTCCTGGGCTCAGCTTATCCTGCCGCCTCAGTCTCCCAAGTAGCTGGGACCACAGGCACGCGCCACCGTGCCCAGCTAAAATTTCATTTTGACTCTCGAATAAATGCAGAAGCCTGAAAATATAGCCAACCTATTTAAGCAATGTTTGCAGCCACCTTGGGTCCTCAGAACAATCAAGAAAAATCCAAAACATGAATCAAATTCCATTTTTAGGCACAATCATCTCAAAAGGGAGCCCAAAAAATGTAATGGGCTTCAGCA